>NC_000001.11:53493228-53644744 GCF_000001405.40 Homo sapiens
TTCTCCCCCGCTGCGTATAAGGGTTCTGATTTCTCCACATTCTCACCAACAGTGCTTAGTATCTGACCGTTTGATGATGGCCATCCCAGCGGTTATGAAGTGCATCCCACTGCGATTTTGACTTGCATTTCCATGATGGTTCATGACGCTGAGCATCTTTTCATGTGCTATTTGCCATTTGTAAATCATCTTTCTTCTTTCAACATTGGGTTGTCCTTTTATTACTGAGATGTAAAAGTTCTTAATATATTCCGGCTATAATTCCCTTATCTGATATATGTTACGTATATTTTCTCCCATTCTGTGGATTGTCTTTTCACTTTTTTGATGATGTCCTTTTAGTACAAAAAAATTTAATTTTAATGGAATTCAGTTTATCTTTGTTGTTGGTGGTGGTGCTTTTGGAGTTATATTTAAGAAATCAATGCCTAATCCAAGGGCACAAAGATGTTTTTCTTTTTCTTTTTTTCTTTCTTCGTGTGAAACAGGGTCTCACTCTGTTACCCAGGCTGGAGTGCGCTGGCACGATTTTGGCCCACTGCAGCCTTGACCTCCCGGGCTCAAGCAATCCTCCCACTCAGCCTCCCAAGTAGCTGGGACTATAGGCGCACACCACCACGCCTGGCTAATTTTTATATTCTTTGTAGAGACGGGGTTTTGCCATGTTGCCCAGGCTGGCACAAATATTCACTCTTATTTTTTTTCTTAGTTTTATAGTTTTAATTTTTATTTAGGTCTTTGGTCCACTTTGAGCATATTTTTACATATAATATGAGGTAGGGATCCCACTTCATTCTTTTGCATGGGGATATCCAGTTGTCCCAGTACCCATATGTTGAAAAGACTATTCTTTCTCCATTTAATTATCTTGGCACTCATTAAAAATCAATTGACCATAAATGTGAAGGTTTGTTTCTGAACTCTCAATTCTATTCCTACAGGTCTTTCTTTATGCCTATAAGCTTTAAAGTAAGTTTTGAAATTGGGAAGTGTGAGTTCTCCAACTTTGTTCTTCTTTTTGTAGATTGTCTTGGCTATTCGGGGTCCTTTGAATTTCCATATGAATGTCATGATCAGATTGTCAATTTCTGCACAAAATCCATCTGGGACTTTGAGAGGGATTGTGCTGAATCTGTAGATCAAACTGGGGAATACTACTATCCTAATAATACTAAGTCTCCTAATTGATGAACATGGGCTGTCATTTTGTTTACTTAGGTCTTCTTTCATTTCTTTCAACAATATTCCATAGTTTTAAGGCCAGGTGCGGTGGCTTATGCCTGTAATCCCAGCATGTTGGGAGGCCGAGGTGGGTGGATCATTCGAGGTCAGGGGTTCAAGGCCAGCCTGGACAACATGGTGAAACCCCCCCGTCTCTACTGAAAATATAAAAATTAGCCAGATGTGGTGGTGGGTGCCTGTAGTCCCAGCTACTCAGGAGGCTGAGGCAGGAGAATTGTTTGAACCTGGGAGGCGGAGGTTGCAGTGAGCCGAGATTGCACCACTGGGCTCTAGCCTGGGTGACAGAGTAAGACTCTGTCTCAAAAAATATATATATTTTGTAGTTTTCAGAATATAAGTTTTGTACTTTTACTAAATTTGTTACTGAATATTTTATTCTTTTGAATGCTATTGTAAGTGGAGTTATTTTCTTGATTTCATTTTTGCAATGCTCATTGCAAGTGTATACAAGTACACTTTTTGTGTATTGAGCTTGTATCCTGCAGCCTTGCTGAACTCGTTTGTTAGCTCTAATGGTTGTGTGTGTTTGTGTGTTTGTGTGTGTGTGTGTGTGTGTGTGTGTGTGTGTATTCCTTATAATTTTCTATATATGAGAACATGTTATCTGCAAATAGATAGCTTTACTTCTTCTTTTCTGATCTGGATACCTTTTATTTAATTTCATTACCTAATTGCCCTGGCTAGAACCCCCAGTACAATGTTGAATAGAAGGGTCAAGAGTGGGCATCCTTGTCTTGTTCCTGATCTTAGGGGGAAAGCATCCAGTCTTTCACCATTAAATATGATGTTAGTGGTGGGTTTTTCATAGGTGGCCTTTATCAAGTTAAGGAAGTTCTCTTTTATTTTTAGTTTGTTGAATGTTTTTCTAGTCATGAAAGGGTGTTGGTGTGTACCAGTAAGGTAGAGATTTTAGTCCCTATTTTACATATATATATTAGAAAACTAAGGCTAAAAAATGCTAGAGCAAATTTGGAAAATAGGAATAAATATGAAGAAGGAATAAACATCACTATCAACCCCATCGCTCAAAGATAAACCACTCTTAACTGTTGGAAGAACATCCTTCCAGACTTTCTTCTAGGCCTTTTTAGAAAATTGTCTGCACACCACATAGACTACCTTATTTCACTGCATAATATGTCCAGAACATTGAGGGAAGGATTTTCTTAGCCAGAGCTGAACAGAGATGAAGGGGTCTGCCTGGTTCCTTGTTGGTGGGAGCACGTGAGCACAGCAGCTTGTCCACACAATGTAACAGGGCGTCTCCTGGGGGATGTTTTTGAGCCAGTCTTCTCTCCTGGCTGTGAGGCTATCCAGGGCTAGGGCCAGGCTGAGTCATCTCACTTTCTTGTGCCCAGCTCAGAGGAGACTTGAGTCAGTTTGATGAAGTGATCAGCATGAGCCGAGGGACCCAAAAGGGAAATGAGAACCGGCTGAGTCTACAGCTTCTCTGGGCTGGGTCCTTTAGGAAAAGGAATTATGACAGAAGTGTCCTGGCCTGGGCTCTGCACTCAGTGGGCAAGTCCCTGCCCTTCCCCAGGCCTCCATCTCCCTATCTGTCAGATGGGGATTGAACCAATTTCCCCTACAGGCCCTTCGGAGATGGACTGGGTGAAACTCTGGGCCTTGATGCCTGAAAGACTCTGGGGTCTTGAGACCCAGAAGTTGGGGCCTTCTCCCAGGATGGGGCCCAGCAGCCATATGGGAATCCCCAGCCAATGTGTCAGCATCAACGCTGTGTAACATACTGCACATTTACCTGTGTGGAAGGAAGACTTGGTGACCTGGTCTTGAGGAACTCCCTGTCATTGGAAGATGAGGCGGCCTAAGGAAAATGTCCTGGAAAGATGGGTCAGCTTGGCAGGGCTGCGGAGCTCCTGGAGCTCTGGCTGGGAGTTTGGAGACTTGGAAATCCAGTCTCTGCCACTCTCCTGCTTGCTGAGTGGCCTGGGAAGGCCCCACTCCTCCCTATCCCTAATGGCTCTGAGTCTGTGACCCCGTGAGTTTATCCAAGGCTCTTACTGACTGTTGAGCAATCACTATGCTCTGGTGCTGGTAGCTGCAGAACTGAACCAAAGGATGAGGGTCAAGGTGGAGGAAGCAGGACTCGAAGAGGCAGCTTGTTCCAGGAGAAGGGAGAGCAATCTTTGGGCCCTGCAGACCTGGTCTGGCACTCTGAGCCTAGATTCCCTCTCTCTCTCTCTCTCTCTCGTTTAAAGAGTGAATGAGTTAACATATGTCAAGTGGTTGGCACATGGAGGGGCTCAAAAAAATTCCTGTTGTCATGAGCAAGACCTGGAAGTTGGGGAGACCAAGGGAGGTTCTTGGCCAATGGATGAGGGTAGGCAGCATGGACTGTAGAAGGTCTCTTGACCTTGGAGTGATGGCTTTGCCTTCGGGCAGCCTAGGCCCATCAGCTGGCAGGGTCACATTCTGTCTCTGTTTCTGGCAACAGCAGGATTTTCCCTCCCTAATTATCAACCTACTTGGGGAGATGCTAAAAGTAATGCCCATTCCTGGACATATGTCCAATTGTCAAGAGGGCACTGTGGAATTAACTATTTCGTTAGCACATTAAGTGCACAGAGAGAAATTAAGAAAAAAGACAGAGATTTGCAGGCTATGGGAAGGGAGGCCATGTTGGGGGCACTTCTGGGTGCTCAGCCCTGAAACACGCTTGCAGGAGCCTACCTTGTTGAATGGGTGTAAGAAGACCTGGAGCAGCCTCCGACTCTTCTTAAAACACAGTGGAGTATGACAAATTGCTCAACTGCTGAATCGACAGATGGAGACTTCTTCCCCTCTCCCACTCTGTCCGTGGCTCTCCAAGGTCACCAAATGCTGCCACTCCTGGTTTCTCATGTCCTCTTCAACACAACATCATAGTTTTCCATTTCTCAGTTGAAGACACTGAAGCCCAAAGAGGGCATGCGACTTGTCTAAGGCTGCACAGCCAGAATTTTTTTTTTTTTTTTTTTTTTTTTAATGAGACAGGGTCTCCACTCTCAGGCTGGATTGCAGTGGTGCAATCACAGCTCACTCACTGCAGCCTTGACTTCCCAGGCTCATGTGATCCTCTCACCTCAGCTTCCTGAGTAGCTGGGACTATAGGCATGCACCACCACATCCAGCTAGTTTTTGGATTTTTGGTAGAGATGGGGTTTCACCATGTTGCTCAGGCTTATCTCAAACTCCTGGGCTCAAGCCATCCACTTGCCTTGGCCTTCCAAAGTGCTGGGATTACAGGCATGAGCCACCACGCCCTGCCTCCAGAGCCAGAATTTGAATCAAGGTACAAGGCCCTGGGTAGACAAGCTGGGATGTGCTGACTAGTGAGGCCTCTGCCCAAGACAGCATGGGGTGGTTTGAGCACTGCCCTGGGTGTCCTGAGACCAGACCCACCACCAAATGGCCATGTGTCCCCAGCAAGTCAGGCCATCTCCCCGGGACTGTTTCCCCACTTGTACCATGGAACTTGATTTCAAATCATGAGGAGAATGCTTAGGGCACTCATCTAAATGGGCAGTCCTCGAACGAAAATACTCACACCTGAGCACCTACTATGTACCAAGCCCTCACTCTAGCGCCCCATTTGATCCACCCACCAATAGAGGAGGCATCGTCTCATCTTACAGAGTAGAACCTCAGATTCAGTGAGGTGACCTGCTCAAGACCCCAGTCGGAGCATGGCTGCGTGGGTTTTGGAACTCAGATTTTGGGAACTCTGGAATCCCTGCTGTCAACACTCTGGGCCTCACCATCTTTTTTTTTTTTTTTTTTTTTTTTTTTAGACAGTCTTGTTCTGTTGCCCAGGCTGGAGTGCAGTGGCTTTATCTCAGCTCACTGCAACCTCCCCCTCACAGGTTCAAGCGATTCTCATGCCTCAGTCTCCTGAGTAGCTGGGACTACAGGCATGTGCCACCATGCCCGGCTAATTGTTTTTTGTAGTTTTAGTAGATGGGGTTTCGAGATGTTGCCCAAGCTGGTCTCGAACCCCTGAGCTCAGGCAATCCACCCTCCTCGGCCTCCCAAAGTGCTAGGATTACAGATGTGAGCCACCTTGCCCAGCCTGGGTCTCACCATCTTTTGAGAGCCACCAGCTCCCTGACCCTGAGTTTCCCCATCAGTAATAGAGCAGTGTGTGCCTGTTGCACTCCGGACACCTGGGCACAGAGCCCCCAGGAAACCCCAGGCCCCGTGGAGATGGCTGCAGCACAGCCTGTGTCTTGCTTGGCGAGGGACGGTGTCTGGGCCCCGTGGAGCCTGTGTTCCTGGCATTCTGCCCTGCATGGGGCTTAGTGACTGCCCCCTGGGGCTGCTCTCCACCTCCCACCCTTTCCTTCCTAGCTGGAGACCCCCACTCACTTCTCCACTGGGGGCTCAGGCTCCAGCTCCTCACCCCGGGCCCCACCTTGAGTTGCTCCCCGTCTAGTGGCTGTGGTTTCACTGACACAGAGGAAACCACAGATGAAGGCGAAGTGCCAGGCTCCAGTGATAATACCAGCTCAGCTGCACATGGCCTTTCATGGTTTGCAAAACCCATCTCCTGTCCATTAGTGCTTTTTATTCCCCAGAAGCCAGGAGAGCTAAGAGGATAGCTCCCTCTCCACAGATGGGGAAACCAAGGCCCAGAGTGTGAAGCGACTTTCCTCCAGTCAGTGGTATAGGCAGATTGTAAACAGGCTGACTTCCAATCCCAGGGTCTCAGCTCAACTTGGCATGTGCCTCTCACCTCAGGAGTTTGGGGACAGCAAAGTTCTGGGGCTCAGAGGGTGGCCAAGGGCATGGGCTTTGCAGTTGAGAGGACGTGAGTTCAAAACCTGGCTCAGTGTGATCTGGGGTAATTTACTTTGCTTCCCTATAGAATGGGGGTGAAAGTAGGACCTTCCCCACAGGGCTGTGTGGTTTAACAGTTAATGTGCATGAAGTGCTGCGGTGCTGGCCATGGTGAGCGGCGTCCTCACCCCTCCTGGGTGCTGGAGCCCCCGGGGAGCTCTTCAAACAGCAACCCGGCTGCCCTCAGAAAGGCTGAATTTGTTGCTCAGAGGTGGGATCTGCGTGTGCAGCTTGGGGACTCCGGGTGTTTCCAATGCGCAGCAGCAGTGGGGGGCGCTCTGCTTTATGGAGCCCATTGTGCAGATGGGTAAACAGTCTCTGAGGGGCAAAGTGACCCCAAAGGACCCACAGGTCCTCTGGGCTCCTGTTTCTGCCTCCTCCATGACTTGGCTGCCCTCAGATGACTGGTTCCTGAGGGTGCCACCATGCAGGCAGGTGAGGCAGGGGCTCAGGCCTCCCTGCAGGGCTGGCTGGGCCGTCACGGCCGGGCCTCTCCTTGGGGACTTGATTTCTCCTCCTGTAGATAATAACCACCCCTCACTTCCCTGCCTCAGGGGTAGAGAAGGCGGCCCTGAGAAGTT
The DNA here is from genome assembly GCF_000001405.40 of Homo sapiens. Taxonomy (NCBI): domain Eukaryota; kingdom Metazoa; phylum Chordata; class Mammalia; order Primates; family Hominidae; genus Homo; species Homo sapiens. The sequence goes on from NC_000001.11 coordinate 53,499,888, forward strand.
GCGTGGTCCTTGACCCAGTGACAGGACTGCTTCAGTCTCTTGGCCAATCTTGCTTGCACTGCCCCAGGGACGGGGGCTCCTTTTCATCCCAAAGTCATCCCAGGGTCTCCGAGCACAGTCACCTTCTTCTCTCAGGGTGTCCTGCAGAGCTCTGGGGTTGGGGCCAGGGTCCCCGGGTCTCCTGTGCCCCCAGCACTGTCGGGTATGAGGTTAACCGGGCTCACCCTGTCCTGGCCCTTGTTCTGCACATACTCTTGTCACCAGCAAATTAATGCAGAGAAGCCATTATTAAATCCCAGCTGTGCACCAGACCCTCTGCTGGGCACTGGGGATACAGGGCCACCAATGTGGTCCCTGCTGTGACAAGACAGTCACGAAGTAAAGAGGACTCAGGCCCCAGACCCTCCCGCAAGGAGGCCCCATCCTGGAGGAGCGGAGCCTGCCCCAGCTGCCAGGCACGCGAGAAATCCCAGCCCAGCCGCACCAGGACTACTTGAATTCATTTCTGGAAAACGTCAAACATCCACACAAGTGCTCTAGAGAACAGCCTCGGAGCCCCAGAGAATACCCTGGTGGCCGAGCCTCCAGCGCCGGCATCTCTACTTGCTGTTTCCACACCCTCGGCCCCCTCCAAACCATGGGGCTGCCGGGTTCTTTATTCTGCCCTAAAACTAATGCAACCAGACCCAAGTCCAACCCCAGAGCCGGGCTCCCTGCCCTCCTGTGCGGAAAGGACACGGACACGCCTGGTGGATGGCGTGGCCTGGACAGGGCTGCCTGGCGGCATGTCTGTCTCCTCGGCCTCCCATGGCCCTTCTGCAGGATCCTGTTGCACCCAGGCCTGGGGCCCACGATTAAATCGTGCATTGGCACTGCAGCATGGGGCCAAGGAGGGGCTGGCAGCTCCTTCCCACTTCACATACGTTTGCATTTCCCCCAGAGACGCGACCACTTAGAAACCTATAAATCCCTGGCAGGGCTGCCGGCCTAGGCTAGTATATAAATCAGGACTTGTAAAAGCCTAATGGCCCCCTCTGGGCGGGTGAGACGGGCGTGTGCCAAGAATCCTCAGGCGGCGCCCCAGGACTCAAGTCTTGGTCTCTAGCTGCAGATGGGCAGGGGGGCAGGCAGGCGCCGGTGCCACAGACCTGCCTGGAATCCCCGCTCTGCCCCCTCTCCAACCTCGGGCAAGTCACCCCTGTGAGCCTCAGTTCTCTCCTCAGTACAATGAGGTCACAACCCGTGCCTTGCAGAAGGTCATCAGCAGGCTGCACAAGCCCTCTAGGAGCCCAGCATTCTTTTCTGGTGGGCTGAAGGGATGGGGGACAGAGCGCAAATGGGGCCCTGAAGCCTGGGCTCTCTGCTGCCTGCTGCTGGCCTGCCACCTGCTCTGAAACTCAGACAGGTCCCATGCCCCTCCACACCCGTGTCCTCCAACCGCGTTGACGGGTGTTTGCTGTGGTCCTGCTCTGGGCGAGGGGCTGTGGGGCCAGGTCCTTGTTTCCTCGTTGTCTCTCTGGCTCCACTGATGGGTATAAGAAACAGGTACTGTGTGCTGGCTGTGTGCCGGGTGCTGGCTGTGTGCCGTGTGCTGTTCCAGGGGCTGGGCAGTCAGCAGTGAAGAGGACAGCTCAGGCCCTGACCTCCTGGGACGGACGTTCTAGCAGGGGCCTCAGCAGCGCAGTCCCCTCTCAGCAGAGGGGCCTCCCGAGGCCCAAAGCTGCCGGGTCACTCCCCTGACCACCCCCCGGTCGGCTAGATTAGGGGGCGTGGAGAGAGGCTGGAAGGGGTGGCAGAAACAGAGTCTCTTGGGCCTGGGCTTCCCTTCTGTGCAGTGAGTGGGGTGGGGCTGGTGGTCTCAGTGGGCCCTCTCAGCCCTTATGGTCCGGGTCCTCTGATAGCTCATGGGGTCCCCAAGGGCCAGCAGGAGCACAGGGAGTCCCTAGAGGACAGGACCAGTGATGGTGAATCCCAGTGCCCAGCATGGAAGGGACCTGGCCTGGGCACACACACAGGGCAGGAGGGGACCTAATACCCAAGACCTGAGACCCTGGCAGGGTCAGAGCCTTCCTCCACCCTAGAAGGGTGGAGGAAGGAGAAGGCGGGTTTGGGAGGGGTGGGAGGGACAAGGGGCCTGGGGTGGGAGGGACAAAGGGGCTTGGAAGGGGAAATGTGGAGACAGAGGAGGATGAAGGTGAAGAGCCAGAGAGGAGTGGGTAGGGATGGGGGAGTCAGAGAAGGAAGACAGAGAGGACAGAGGGGGACAGAGGAGAGAAGGAGAAGAGGGACAGGGGAGAGAGGAGAAGAGAGGGACAAGGAGGCGGGGGAGGGACAGGGAAAGAGGAGGGGGAGAGGGACAGGAAGAGAGGGATGAGGGGGATGGGGAGAGAGGAGAAGGGGGAGAGACAGGGAAAGAGGAGAGGGAGGAAGGAGAGGGAGAGAAGAGAGGGATGAGGGGGATGGGGAGAGAGGAGAAGGGGGAGGGACAGGGAAAGAGGAGAGGGGGGAGGGAGAGGGAGAGAAGAGAGGGATGAGGGGGATGGGGAGAGAGGAGAAGGGGGAGGGACAGGGAAAGAGGAGAGGGGGGAGGGAGAGGGAGAGAAGAGAGGGATGAGGGGGATGGGGAGAGAGGAGAAGGGGGAGGGACAGGGAGTAGGGCGAGGGACAGGGAAAGAGGAGAGGGGGGAGGGAGAGGGAGAGAAGAGAGGGGAGGGGGCAGATAGAGAAGAGAGGGGAGAGAGGCAGATAGAGCGGGGAGGGGGAGAGACAGAGAGGGGAGCGGGAGGGGCAGGCAGAGATGAGAGGGGGAGGGACAGAGAGAGGAGAGTGGGGAGGGGCAGGGAGAGAGGAGAGGGAAGGGGGCAGGGAGAGAGGAGAGGGGAGAGGGGCAGATAGAGAGGAGGGGGGAGGGACCAGAGAGGAGAGAGGGGAGGGGCAGGGAGAGAGGGGAGGGGCAGGGAGAGAGGGGAGGGGCAAGGAGAGAGGAGATGGGGAGGGATAGAGAGAGGAGAGCGGGGAGAGGCAGGGAGACAGGAGAGGGGAGGGGGCAGGGAGAGAGAGGGGAGAGGGGCGGATAGAGAGGAAACGGGGAGGGACAGGGAGAGAGGAGGGGGGAAGGGACAGAGAGAGAGGAGGAGGAGGGACAGAGAGGAGAGTGGGGAGGGACAGAGAGAGAGAGAGGAGTGGGGAGGGACAGAGAGGGAAGGGCGGGACAGGGAGAGAGAGGGCCCTGATCCCTGATGGAGACAGAGAGACCAAGGCTTCAGGGTGGGGGTGCTGGGCCAATCTAGCTTGAACTTGACAGAGGCCAGGACTGTGGGGGCGGCCTGGAGTGGCAGGGCTGGAAGGATGCCATGGTCTCCTGTCCATCCTGGGCTCTGTGCCTATGCCCTGGGTTGGACTCGGGGGCCCCTGGGTGGACTCAGCCCCTTGGCTCTATAGACCCTGTGGGGTCCTGGGCTTGTGGCCCCCTAGGGGCTCTCTAGGCCCTGTGAGAAATCTCAGCCCCTCCACCTAACCCCACTAGCCTCCCTGTGTGACAGTGACAGTCACACCTCCTTGCCAATGGTGGGTCTGGGGGTAATCGCCGTGCCCTGCAGTGGCAGTGGCCAGGCTCCCATGTGCTGCGGGCTGCAGATCAGGGCTTGGGAGGGGCTTTGGTCTTGGTGTTTTTAAAATAAGGGCTGAAGATAGCACTACGGAGGGAGCTCAGGTCCAGCCCCCGGGGGTCCTGCCTGGGGACCGGTGTTGCAGTGCTCGCCTTCGCCTTCGATTAGGAGGGAGACCCTGCCGGCGTCGGGGCAGGGCGTCCCGAGTGTGCCAGGAGGAGCGGGGGCTCAGTGGAGTCCCAGGCAGAAGAGTGAGGAATGGCATTTCCAGATCCCGGTCACCACAGCAGTGGGACCCACCCCCGAGCCCCTCCGTGCCCTGCCATCCCCTGCGGCCTACTTGTCTCTGCTCTGTCTCGGCCTCTTTGTTTCTCTGCCTTTGTCTCCTTTTCTCCCTCTCTCTGCTCTCTGAAATTAAATGGGATCCAACTGCCAGCTCCCTGTGTGTTCCCCGCTTGCGGCTCAGCCCCTTTCATTATTAACAGAAATATGTCCTCATGGTGGAGCTTCACGCTGCTTATCTGGAGTGGATTAAGTGTTCACAGTGACATGCAGTACTGATTCCTCAGCATCCCTGTTCAAGGAGTTTTGCCTCGGCCTAATTAGTTCCATAAAATCAGTGGAGGAGGGGATGAGGGGCGAGGGGACCCTGGGTGGCAGGCAGCAGCCCGATGTGCTGTGTGACAATGGGTCGATCCCTCCCTGCTGGAGAATTGGACTGGGCCACTCTGGGAGGCAGAGGCTGAGAGGTGGTGGGAGCAGGTCGCCCGATTCTGCAAGGGGCAAGACAGTCTGAAGGGTGAAGGTGGAGGCTCCGGAGCCCGATGCCCGGGTTTGAACCCAGCTCTACCACTCACAGGCTGTGTCACGTGGGCAAGTTCCTTAACTTCACTGTCCCTCTTTTTTTTTTTTTTTTTTTTTTTGAGATGGAGTCTTGCTCTGTCACCCAGGCTGGAGTGCAGTGGCGCGATCTCGGCTCACTGCAACCTCCGCCTCTCGGGTTCATGCCATTCTCCTGCCTCAGCCTCCAGAATGGCTGGGATTACAGGCGACCGCCACCATCCCTGGTTAATTTTTTGTATTTTTAGTAGAGACAGGGTTTCACCATGTTGGCCAGGCTGCTCTTGAACTCCTGACCTCAGGTGATCCACCCGCCTTGGCCTCCCAAAGTGCTGGGATTACAGGCGTGAGCCACCGCGCTGGGCGCACTGTCCCTCAGTTTCCGTGCCTGTAGGATGGGAGTAAGTAGCAGGGTTTGGCAGGGAAGACCGTCCTTTTCAGCTCAGGGTGGTCAGGAGTTTCCTGAGGGGACCATGCTGCGGTGTGGGCCGGGGTGTCTTGAGTGATTCCCCAGCCCCACCCCACGCCGAGTGAGGGAGGAGAGGAGCAGCTCCCAGTCTGGAGTGGGCTGTGTGGAGAGAGCCACTGGACTGGGCCGAGACCTTCAGTGGAAGACACAGCCACCCAGGGACCTTCCCTCCCACCTCCCTCCCATGCTGGGCTCCTCACTGGCTGGAGCCAGCCCGGAGCCAGAGGGCAGCGGCCCTAAATGCAGCCCCCACAGGTGGGCCCTGGACACAGAGCAGGCAGAGCGCATGTCTGGAGGGGGCAAGTAGGACATGGGTGCAAGAACCTCGTCAGCAGGCTCCTGGGAGGAGGCAGAGAGCAGATCCCCGGGAAGCCCTGCAGGCTGGCATGGCACTGCTGTGTCAGTGGCATCGTGGATGATGGGGAGGACCAGGCGCTCATCACGGCTCTGTCACTATGTGGCTAGGTGTTCACTCTGACCCTCAGTCTCCCTCTCTATAAAGAAAGGGGTTACTGGGCCTTTCATCTTGTTTTGCCTGCCGAAGTCAGCGTGTAATACAAAGAGGCGGCCCTTTGGTGAGGGTGTGAATGCCGGCTGCCCCTCCTCACCTACAGAGGAGACAAGAAGACCCCTCCCTAGGCTGTTTCTGGGAGCACCGGGAGGGTGGTAAACATGACCGCCCTTGCATGGTTCCACTCCAGAGGGGATGAGGCAGGAATTTTCCTGGATCTTTGTAGCAGGTGATCAGTGTGACACGGTGAGATGCTGGCCATCGTCCAGGTCACCTGCCCAGGCCTGGAGCATGGGCCTGTTCCTCGTGCTGGATGCTGGAGAGCGAGACGGGGAGATGGGGACAGACCCACGCAAGCCTCGGTCCTCCAGGGTGGGCACAGGGCTTCTGGGACAAAGGCTGCTCTTGGCACCTGGCCTGTCTGCAGGGACCAGCCTTTGCCCTGGCTTTTTGAGGCTGTTTGGGCTCCATCCCCAGCAAGCTTGCCCTGCCCTCCCAGTTTTCTCTGTTTGCAGAAGCCCAGACACTAGATTTGAAGCTCGTTCTCCCACCCGCTGAGGAGTCGCTGTAGCAGGTAGAGGCCCAGGTCAGACGGAGCTGGGTCCCAACTGTGGTCTGACTGTGGGGCCCGGGATCTGAAGCCCGTCGCCGCACCCTCCCAGCCTCAGTTTGCCCACCTGTCCATGGGGATGGGCCTACCTCACTGCACAGTCCTGGGACTAGCGCTGGTGTCTGTAAGGACCATAGCGCATGGTGGGGGCCACGTGCCACTGGTTCCCATCCTCGTGGTCAGAACCCAGGGCCTGAGCTGGTTTCTACGCAGCCTCCCTAGCCCTGAACACCTGGCTCTGTCACCCTCCTCCGAGGCTCTCCCGGTCCCAGCCTCTGGGCTGAATCATAAAGCAGAACGAGGACTTCACATCTCCTTTCCAGTTTTTAATGTTTTTTCTTGTAAAACCAAAAATATAAAACTGGCAGGGGAACGGAAAACAAGTTCTGCATATTTTATATACACGAGGTCTGTGATTTCAAAACCACTGCGGGGAGGAACGGGAAGACAAGATCGAGGGAATGTTACAGGGCCACAGATCCTGGCGGGCACCTCTGTGCGCCCAGCTCAAGCTCGGATGGCGGCTCCCTGGCAGCGCTGGGTGGGGTGGCAGCGCTGGCTCCCCTGGGTCATGGCCTGGCTGTTCCGGCTGTGGCCTGGCACTCCTGCTAGGTGCACGGAGGGTGGGAGCGACAGCAGGTGGGCGAGGTGGCATCTGCAGTGCTGGATGGGCAGGCGCATGTGGGGGCTCCTTCAGGTGTCTGTGTAGATGGAGGGGATGTGGCCCAGGCAGTGGTCAAAGGCTCCATTGGGGAAGAAGCCACAGTCCTCGGGGCCGCTGGACACCACATCTTCAGATGGCTGCTGTGGCAGCGCTGTGGGGCATGAGGCCTCAGCCAGGGCCTCATAGCCTGTGAGTGGTTGGGAAAGGGTCAGCGCTGGAGGCAGCAGGGGCTGTGCCTGCGCATGCTTCCCAGTTCCAGGCCCCACCCCGCCTGCCCAGGGTCATCCCCTCACAGTGTCCCGTCGGTGGGGCCTGCTTGGAGCCCCCAACTTTTCCAAATGGGGGAGCTGGCCGCTGGGGTGGGGCGAGGGCTTGGGAGGCACCCTGGGCCTGGCACACCCAGGGGGCCCAGGGCAGCTGGGGAGACAGGCACGGGGTTGACTCAGGGAGGTCCATCACCAGGGCTGGGCTGTGGGGCAGAATGTGGGGGAAAGAGAGGAGCAGGGTAGGAGCAGCTCAGCCCTTGCCCTCAGGGGCTGGTCCCCTCCTGGTAGAAGGACCAGCTCACCCCCACCCTTTCAGTTGTATCCCCCAACCAGACTCAAGAAACTCAAAGAAGGCCACCAGCATTTACTGGGCACTTAGTAAGTGCTCATTTCAGCTTGCCTCGCTTCGGCTCCACAATGCTCCCCTGCGGTGGGATTCACTATCCTATTGTACAGCTGAGAAGGCAGGCACAGAGGCCAGGATGCTTGCCTAAGGTCACAGTGTGAGTAAGGGGTGGAGCTGGGATTGAACCCAGGTCCATCTGGCTTCAGAGATACCTGGCTCTTCCACCGGACATGCTGTCTCCAGGGTGGGGCCACCGCTCAGAGGCCCTTGACTTGGGAGGGGCCGGGAGGGGTGATCTTCTCCAGCCCCTGCCCGAAAGGCCTGCCAATGAGCTGCTGTCATGCATTTGTGTGGCCTAAGACAGGCGAGCCTCAGTCTACGCAGTGGGGTTGGGCTGAACTGTTCTGAGGCCTGCAGCCCCTGAAGCTTGTCAGCCTGGATTTCATGCTCTGTGTGTGATTTTTGCTTGACCGGGGAGGTGTGCACAGAAAGGCAGCTGAGCGGGCCTGGAGTGGGCACTGGGGAGAGGGGAGGCTGAAAGAACCTCCCCTGGCCGGTGTAGGGCCGGGGTGGGGTGTGGAAGCTGCCTCCTGCTCCATTCAGAGCTATTCATTCTAAGCCTTGCTGCTCAGCTGAGAAATCCCATGTGGGCTGGATGGGGGTGGGGAGGACAAGATGGGGAGAGCCCACAGTGCTGGGCACCTCAATTCGGGTATACACAGACACAGAGCACCCGTCTTCCATGTGAGCCCCATGTCACGCAGGGGGCCATGCACACACGTCTATCCCGCGTGGACACGGCACACGTTTACCCACGGGCCTGTGGGCACAATCCTCAAACACAGGTGCACACGTGCACACAAGCACACGTCTGTGGAAACAGCCATGAGTCGTGGGGTGGGTGACACAATGTGCACACAGATGGGGTTCACGGACATCCACATACACCTGGGGTAATACATGTGCAGACACGAGAGTGCAGCCCTGCCAGCTCCTGACACTCACGGGGCGCATGCTGCCCAGAGCCACCTGTGCAAGCCCCGCAAGCACGGGCACACGCAGACACCTGGCACGGGCGCAGGTGTGTGGACGTGGACCCACAGGGTGGTATGTGCCCGGCTGAGGCCTCAGTGCTTGTCCCTATATACCTGTCCCTCCACCCTCCCGCTCACTACCTCAAAGCTGCCCCAAGGGCCTCTGGGGCGGGTCTCAGGTTCCCCTTTGTTGGAGCCCTGGAAACCTCCTGTTAGACCTGGGCCCCGAGGCTGTTTTGAGGGTGGGTCTCAGCTGGAGGAATTCAGGGAGGGTCTAGCCCCTCCCTTCTGATGCCCCTGCTCTGACTAGGCCTGCCCTGCTGATCGGAGCCTGGTTCCACCTGGGCTGCGGGCACCCTCCCCTCTCCCTGGGCTTCTCTAGCCAAGCCTGGGGCAGAGCTGGGGAGGCCCAGGGCCCTGCAGGGCAACACCAGGTACCTAAGTGGGGAAGGAACAGCATGACCTCCAGGTTCTGTCCCCGCCTAATCTCCTGTGCTGCCAAAGGGAGAGCAGGATTTGTTCATTCCCTGCTATATCCCCAGGGTCTGCAGCTATGCCTGGCACACAGTAGGTGCTCAATAAATAAAGTGAAGCAGTAATTAAACCATGAGCTCCCAGTCCGATTCTTCAGAAACCTGCCAGCATTCAGACACACATAAGGCTCGCAAAGCTGTGCAAGGAGCATGCACTTTCCAGTCAGGCAGGTACAGACAGTTCTGCGGGGTCCTGGGACCTCTCTGAGCCTCTACTTCCCCCTCTGTAAAGTGGGGATGGCCCCACCACATAAGCATCCAAAGGCTGCAGGACAGCACGTATGCAGCACCCAGCACTGGGTTGAGCCTCGGCAGGTGCCCAGGACTGGGAGCCACGCAGGCAGGGCTCACCTGTGGCAGGCAAGGGCGTGCTGAGGCTGTGGTAGCCATTGGGCCGCAGGGGGTTGAAACCGTGGGTCTCCCCGACCAGTCCGTCCCCACCGGCTGCTGGTTCAGCCATCCGGTAGCAGTCGCCATAGGGGAAGCAACTCTGGATGGAGTGGAAACTGCCCTGGTAACCTGCAGACGGGGGTAGCAGGGGCCGCGTTCACAAAGGAGAAGTGCCCAGGGCAGGGAGGGGAACATCCTTGCTGCACGCTCCACCTCCCGTGTTGTCCTGTCCAGGCATTGTGGGTGTGAGAGAGAGAGGAGGGCCCAGGGCAGAGGAGGTGCAGGAGGCTGGGGCCCCATTCTCAGCTCCGCCCTGCAGGGAGGGGAGGGCAGGCGAGGGGTGGCTGAGATGGTCTCACGTGGCTGCTCCTGAGTCACCCGTGGCTGATGCCTACTCCCTCCACTCTCAGGCGCTCAATCCCGCTCACTGGCCTCTCCTCAGGGCAGCGGGCCTTTGCTGCCTTGTCCAGAACACACTCTTCCTCACTCTCAGAACCAGTTTTGTCCAGGCTGTGCCCTCAGCTGGGCCTCTTATGTCCCCTGTCTCCTAGCTTCTCTCAGCCCCCAGTGCCCAGCCGGTCATTCTCTGAGTACCTGCCTCCCCCACTAGGTCACTGTCTCCTCGTTCCTCTGGGGTCCCTAAGTGGGAATTGGGGGGTTATACGGAGCGGGCCCCTGGCCAGAGCTTACCTTGTGGGCTGGGCAGAGGCGGGGGTGGAGGGCTCTGGAAGGGTGGGTAGGACGGCTTGCTGGGGAGTGTGGGGAAGGGCTGGCCCCCCGGAGAATGGCTCTGAGAGGATGGGGGCAGCGGCGGTGGCCCCAGCCCCTTCAGGGGGCTGACTATTGGTGAGAGGAGGCCGGGCCCCAACCTGGAGAGAACAGAGGTGCCCATCAGCAGGCAGGGGTCTGGAGGGTGGGGGCCAGAGGCAGGGCTGCTGCGGCTTACACCCCTCCAGCGACGGGGAGCCCACTCACCAGCTGACCTGCTCCGACTTACAATAGTTAGAAGAGGAGCTTTTATTTTTGGTCATGTTCAAGCCAAACTTTTCAATCCTGTAAGCTTTGGAGTCTGGTATTTAGGATAGTCAGCAAGAAACACAGGTAAGAGGCACAACCTTTCCAGCTGAGAGAACTGTGTTCAAACCCCTAATTGCTCCGTTGGCCAACTATTTTGGGCAAGCTGCTCAATGTCTCTGAGCCCTGGTTTCCTGGACGGGCTGCTGGCTCACCACCGGGCACGCTGCAGTGTTCATTACCTGCTGGGTGCCCGGCTCTCTGCCTCGTGCATGCCACTCTGGCCACCTGGACGAGGAGCCCTGGAGCAGCCCATGGCACTCACAGTCAGCATTCACTGAGCCCCTGACTTGCCCCAGGTCCTGGGAGACAGGTGTTCTTGTGTCCTTTTCACAGACCAGAAAACCAAGGCTCAGAGAGCTTTGCCCAAGTTACTCCCAGCCACACAACATCTCAGGGGTTATGGTGAGGGTGACATTAAAGCAATATAGACAAAGTGTGATGTCCAATACATTCTTAGCCACTCCATCAATCATCATCATCATTATGAAGAGGAAGGGAAGAAAAACTAGCAAGTCGGTCCCATGGCCAAGTCGGCATTTTTTTCCTGCACAGTGTACTCTGAGGAACCTTCCGTTTCCAGCCCTGGCCATCTCTCCTCCACTTGCATACCTCCTGTGATGGGGGCTCACCAGTTGCCTTCATACAGAGCCTGAGGGGGATGCAGGCTCTAGACTGTGCACTCTGGAAACTCATGTTCTGAAACAAGACTGCAGTGGCTGAGAGCAGCACAGGTGCCCTGAGCCCAGCCCAGCCCGAGGGCCCACTACCTGGACCACAGGATGCTGCAGGCCAGGTTCCCTTCTCATGCTACCTTCCTAAGCCCCTGGGCCCCGTTCACAGGGGCTAAAATGACTTTGGGATCAATGGCTTGGGGGCTCTGGGGACAAGGCTGAAGGCTCCCAGCCTGTAAAGCATTTATGTACATGGCAGAAAGAGGGAGATAGTGAGAGCTCGGAGTCCCCATTTTCTTGTCTGGATTTGTGGCTTGTTGGACCATCCACATTAAAATATACAGCGAATTCAATGTCACAGCTCCAGGTGACCTCGTGACCCTTGCCCACCCTCTGAGACACCAAGTATTGACAAACAGATCAGTGCCTCTCTGAAGGAAGCAGGGCTATCTGGAAATGGGGAAAGCAGATTTGGAGAGAGGCTGGGGTCTCCGCATCTGTGCTGTGCCAAGTTCCTCTCTGCTCCCTCCAACGTTGGCAGCCCCTCCACTGCCCCTCCAGTCTGCTGTCATCATCCACACGTGTGGGGCCCCCGTCACTGTGAGCTCGCTGAGGACAGGGGAAGCAGGGCCTCGGTGCTGGGTCCCTGGCCCGGCCACTGATACACTGTGGGTCCCTGTCACTGTTTTAAGTTCATGAGACGAATCCTCATCACACCTCCAGGAATAAATTATCATTATCATCATCATTATTTTTAGGCCTGTCTTGTGGGGTGATCAAGTGGGACAGCGTCTTCCTCTATGCACTAGAAACCGTGGACAGCTGTGCACGAGCTGTGTGTTCTCATGACCAGTTCTGGCTGAAGCTGGGCTGGGGCCTGGCCGGAGAGTGGCTCCTCCTTCCTGCAGGCCTGCTGTGTGGTGGCTGCCTTATCCCCATCCCATCTGGGCACCCACAACCCAGCCCTCCCCTGGTTTCCTGAAGCCCCTGTAGGGAGGGCCAGGTCTTGGCCCTTCTCGGTCACCCGGTGCCCAGCGCTGGGCATGGCACACAGTGAAAAACCAATGACACTAATAAATGAGTTTCTGAATCTCTCAGTTGCAAATCCCAGAGATTAACAGCATTGCAGGATTAAGATGAACCAGATATGAAGGGGAAAAAACATGTGTTTTCAAAAGTTTGTTTTTCCTGTCTCACTCCACCATAAATTCACATTTGCCACCTTCACAGCTGGTGAAATTAAACAGAACACAACTCTCTCCACAGCAGACATGACGCCTGAGGCTATGCTGCTCTACCTGAACCCTTTAAAAGGCAAAAAAGATCTTCTGGAGCTCCTCCTCTGAGTCATGCAAATGATTCCTAAATCAAATATTTTTGCTTCAACTGGAACCTATAAAAATTAATATAAAACCTCACTAGCCTGGCAGACTGAGGGCTTCATACCTCGCACAAGGCTGGGAAAAAAAATACCCTATTCGGCGTCTTCTCTGAGCCAGGGTAAATAAATTTGGTCATGAAGTCAGGCCCTCTTAGCATATTTTTGAGTGAATCAGATAATTCTGTCAAGCTATTTAAACGTCCCAGCAAACCACTGGGGAGCCACGAGTGGCCGTTCCTTGTTGACTTTGGCAGGAAGTGGAGGCTGAAGGCCCTTTCCCCACTCTCTTCTCAGGGGATGAAAAAAGAAACCCATTCACGCTGGGCCTGGGCCTGGTGTCAGGCACGAGGACGCTTCTCTCCTGCAGCTGGACCCGAGGCTCCTACCCGCAGGCAGGGGTGGGCAGGCGGGGGTCCCGTCTTGTCATCACTCTGCTTCTCACTGCAGAATTCTTGACGGGCACTTATGCAGGCGGCAGGCAGGTGATGAATGAGGCGGAGCAGAGTGCACGGGCCCAAGCAGCGAACGGCCTTCGTGGTTTATTTTCCTTTGGTTGGAGATGTTTTTCGGCTGGTTGGTGGGTGAGCAGGTGGCCTGAGCAGCTATGGGTGGGGGCGGGGACCATCGTAGTAGAGCCTGTGCCAGGTGAGGCACACAGTGTCAGGCGTGTGTACGGCCCTCACCACCTTCCTCAGGGAGGGCCTTATAATGCCTTTCACAGAAGCAGCAGCTGAGGCTCAAGGAGGGCCCGGTTTTCTGGGTCCCCCTTTGCACCCCCTTCAGGCTGCCTCTTCATGGTTCTCTGCTCACACTCACAGCCACAATCTTCCCCTGCCTGTCAGCAGCCCCTCTGGACCCCCAGCTCATCCCTGAGGCCTCCTCCTCTCCCTGCCCAGCTCGGATTTCCTACTCCCGCTGCCTCCAGTGCCACCACTGCCTTCCGGGCTCCCCCTCCCCAGCCTGAACCAGGCCCTGGCTTGGGATGCTGTCTGTCCAGCGCCCCACAGTCCACCCCACCCCTGCAATGCCGCCCTGCGTCCTCATCCCCAAACCTGACCACATCACTGCTCAACACTCTTCAGGTCGAGTCTCATCCCAGGCCTTGGGATCTGGACCTGGCGACATCGCTCCCAAGTTCGTCACCCCACACAATGACTCATGTTTCCCAGAACACCCCAAGCTCTCACCATGCCTACCTTCACTCTTGCTACTCCTTCCTCCCAGCTTCTCCACTCATCCAACTCCAGCCTCACCTCCTCCAGGAAGCCTTCCCTGACACCCTCCTGGCAGCCACACCCCACTGGGCTCTCCTCTGGGCTCCACAGCCCTTCTGCTTCCTTGCCGCACACCACTGGCCCCCTGTGTGGTAGGTCTCCCTCTCACAGTAAGCATCTCCAGGGCCAGAGTCATCGAGGCACCAGCACTGGGCCCAGGGCCTGCCCACAGGGGCTCCATAATTGAACACCGAATGAATGGGTGAATGAATGGCAGGAGGAGCCCAGTAATAATAGGAGCAGTGGGCCACAAATGTGGCGATGAAGCCAGGCTGGCCCCAGGCGCAGGCAGGCCATGGCCAAGGCTGTAGCCAGGAGGAGGAAGGGCAGGGAAGGAGGAAGGTGCTGGGGCCAGGCCTGCGGGGACAAGGTGATCAGCAAAAAACAGCAGGGAGGGCAGGAGTGTGGGGCTGGGAGGCCTCCCTCTGCTCATTTGCAAGAAAAACAGATTTTGGCAGATCATGGTCCAGCAATTAACACATTCACCATTTCCAGTCAATTAAGTGGCCACAATGAGAACCACACTGGGTGCAGGAAGAGGCTGCCCCTCTCCACAGTGATCCTGAAGTAAAGGCTCCCAGGCAGCCCCCCGCAGGCCGGGCAATGCCCCAGCTGCAGTGGCTGGAGGTGGGCGTGGGGCCCAGACCAGCGTCTGTGGAGTGCGCGCAGTGGGCAGTCTGCTCCCAAATGCACAGATGAGGCAAGGAGACACCAGAGTGAGGCCCCGAGGAGGCCTGGGTTCCATTCTGCGTGTGGCAGCCCAGAATGCAGGGGTCGCTGGGAGGGGCCACAGCATTTTCCCAGGGTCCTCCAGTGGGGAGAAGAAGCTGCATGAAGTGAGGCATTCAGAAGCCAGTACGGTCTACTCAGAGTTACTGCAGGCACCAACGGAATCATGCACACAAAGTGTGTGGAATGCAGTCTGCAGTCAGTGTTCCCTGAAGGTTGGCTATTTTCATTATCAGTAACAAGCAGATAGATAGTGCGGGACACCTGCTCTCCCTGCCTCCCCCCGAGATCCCCCCTTGTTGCCCCTGGAGGAGGACTGGCCTGGTGTACATACCCATCCCGGGTGCTCTCAGCCATGGGCAGAGGGGACAGATGGTGGTGGGAACTGGTGGTGGCATCCAGCGGGTGGTGCCTGGAAGGTACGTCGTGCGCTGGGGGCAGGAGGCCCGATGCAAGTCCGTTATGGGGGGTGATGGAGCCAGGATACACACCTGCAGGGAATCAAACAAGGCTCACTGGACTCTGGCCACTCCCTAGAGATGGTTGTGATGGCCCAGGAGCTGTGTGTGCCTGATGATGGAGAAATAAAGACAAGAGGGAAAATGAACAACGTTGTATCACTGGAAGTTTAGGGGCCCCAGTGAGGGAGGTGCTGGCCCCACTCCACTCAGTTCAGCCTTGCAGGCCCTGGCTAAAGGGCTGTGTCCAGGGCTGGGGCTCACCCTGATAGCAGAGGTGGACTGGCAAGGGGCTGTCAGAGGCGTGGGGTGCTTAGGGTGTGTGTGTATATGTGTGTGTGTGTGTGTGTGTGTGTGTGTGTGTGTGTGTGTTCTGAGATGGGGGCATGTATAGGGCAGGCTGCCTCAAATCTCTGTGATGCTGTCCTGGAAAAGAAGAGGCTTGTTCTGTGTGGCCCCGAAGCAGACAGAGACCCAGGAATGGAGAGAAGCTTGAGAGTAGACAGCAGCCCAGGGCTCGGCAGTGCCTTCTAACAGGCAGTGCTGCTGCAGGGCAATGGGCTGCCCTTGCACAGAATAACTACCTCCCCCAGAGATATGCAAGCAGAGCCGGGGTGTCCACTGTGAAGGCTTCCAAAGAGAGATGACTGCACTAGCTGAGTGGCAGCTGGCCTGGGAGACCTCTGAGAAGGGCTGCCATGGATGGTTGCATGGGCGGTACACTGAACAAGGGTCCCAACTGAGGAGAGGAGTCAGCCTCATTCTAGTCTCAGATTCTAAACCTTCAGAAGACACCTGCAGGGTGATGCCACCTTTTATCACCTTTTACCCCCGAAAGTCTTACCCTTGTTAAGACAGGGAGGCTAATAAATCAATGGGGGACACTAGGTCAGAGTCAGACTTTGCTCCAGGGACCCAACTAGGGTTTGGAGTTACTGACCCCAGCACTCCCAAAATGCCTTCACCAAGAAACCCTAATCAGAGTAGGAAATAAACTCCTACTCTGGGACTGGAGCCTAAGAAAGACATGGCAAGAGTTGTAAGTTTTTGATGTTCCCTATTTTATCTAAAAAAAAAAAAAAAAAAAAAAAAAAGAATGCACCTGACCCCTGCATTCCAGGCCATTACACCCAGAATGGAGCCCAGGCCTCCTCCAGCCTCGCTCTGGCTTCTCCGGGGCTCATCTCTCTAGGAAGTGGCCAGTTTTGCATCCCTTTTTCAATCTGGCCATGTTTATTTTGATAGCAATTGACATCATTTTTTCTGAAATCCATGCATCCAGCAGATGCCCTGGGAGGACTCTTTGTGACCTGGGGGCTAGCCCGGGGCTGCACTGATGGACTCTGTGTGACCTGGGGGCTATCCTGGGGCTGCACTGATGTGGTGTCCATTCTGATTGGCCAGTGTGCACCAGGGCAGCTGTTACATGCTGAATAGCACTCTGGTTACCATGGATCCAGACCAGTGCTCTTATTACACCAGAAGGACCAATCTGAGAACACACCAGTCTCCTTTCATGGATGGGGTAAGGGAAACTTTTACCTTCTCAGTTGGTTGGGGTTCCCAGGCTAGCTCATCCCAGGCTGGCCCCTTTGGCCCAGGCCTGCAATTCAGGAGGCTGTTGCAGGGAACCGAGCAGGGCTGTGGCAGGGACGGCAAGCTCAGTGCCTCAGGCAGCATGGCGGGGAGCAAAATAAATGAAACTGCACGGATTAACAAGGGGAGCAGCAGGGCCTGTGGCAAAGGGGAGAGCACACATCCCAGAAAGACCTTCACATGGAAACCGTTAAAAAAAAAAACAAGCCTGTAATCCCCGCACTTTGGGAGGCCGAGGCGGGAGGATTACTTAAGGCCATGAATTCGAGACCAGCCTGGCCAACATGGCGAAACCCTGTCTCTACCAAAAATACAAAAATTAGTCGGGCGTGGTGGCATGCACCTGTAATCCCAGCTACTTGGGAGGCTGAGGCAGGAGAATGGCTTCAACCCGAAACGCGGAGGTTGCAGTGAGCCGAGATGGTGCCACCACACTCCAGCCTGGGCGACTCCATCTCAAAAAAAAAAACAAAAAACAAAAAACAAAGCACCACCACCACCACCACCGAAAAGTGCCCCTTTGCCTATGAGGCCAAACAGTTTGCAACTCCTGGCCTGGAGTTAAAGCTGCAAGCACCCTACGTTACATTACATCATGTGAGATTCAACTATCAAAATAACTACCATTAATTAAAAACATACTATGTGCCACACTGTCTTTCCACATTATCTAGTTTAACCAGCTTGACAAGTGTCAGTGGGGAACATAATATATTCCATTTTAAGATGAGGAAACTAAATATTAACAAGTTGAATGACTTGTCCAAAGTCACAGAGTAGGCGGCTCATCAGGCCCATCTTCCAAGCAGCAGAGAGAGAAAGTCCACTTGAGGCCAGGGCTAGGAGTGGCTCCAGCTCAGGTGATGGTCTGGATACCCAGCTGAGGCCTCGGCTCTGGTGCAGGCATCACTGCTGGCTGCTGTGAGACCCAGGGGCTCTGGGCCACCGTCCTTACCGCTCCCTGCCTCTAGGACTCTGCTCCCAGGCCTAGCACCACCTGTCTGTCCAGCCACTGCCTACCTCCCCAGCTTGGGGGAAGGTGCCTCAAGCGGTGTTTGTGGAGGGAGCCTGGCGAGGAGCTGCCCACACTTTGAGCCACTCACTACTCTCCTTAGCACCTCTTCGCCTGCCATCTTGAACCAATTTGGGGGCCTGACAGCTGGGAAGGCTTAGAATCCTGATCAATCCTGCACCTTCTTCCTCAGCCACGCTGACCTCATGCTTCTCAAGTCCTCACTGCCCATCACATTACCCTGGATCTGCTCAGGATGGGCCTGGCAGATAAGCTCCCAGGGGTTGGGTGGGGGGTCTCCTGTGCAGAAGAGAACTGGTCCCTACTTGAGGGAGCATCCTGCAATTGGACAATGGAAATTTGGTGTCTCCCTCTGCAGCTCGTCCCTCACCCTCTCCCCTCTGTTCTGGACTCTGCTAATCCTCCCTGACTCAGTCCCCTGCCCTTGCCCCTGCCCCGGGGCCAGGTCCCGGCCTGTCCAGCCTCCACACCAAGGACGGACACAGGGTGGGTGACCGAGTGTGTGAACTAGAGATGCTGACCATGTCAGCGAACAGCAGATGGGAATGAAGGAACCATGGGACTGCGAGGGGCAGCGGAAGTGGGGACGCCACGGGGCCTGATGGGCTCTCCCCAAAACGCACCACTTCAGGCTGTAAAGCTGTGTCATCAATCATCAGCCGTGAGCGCTTAACCTCTGGCCCTAACATCTGTTCCCTTCTCAGCCATCTGCCCTGCGGCCTGCAGAAGAACCCAGCAGGCCGGATCCTAGGGGATCCAGGACCCCGGGCTTCACCTGCCTGGTCCTGCCCTCCCCGCTGCACTGGAAGCAGCTCGAGGACAGGGCCAGCACCGGGCCTGGCAGACAGCAGGTGCTCAGTATAGCAGAGGAGCAGCACTAGCAGCAGGGAGGTGCGGGCTCTGGTTAAGAAGACAGCCTGCACAGATGGTCTGGGTTCCAATCCTGCCTCTGCCACCTGCTAGCTGTGGCTTGCGTGTGCCTTCTGAGGCCGACGTGAGGATGATGGCAGTGATGTCCACGCACAGTCCCTGGAGCAGCACCTGGCACACAGTCAATATGTGCTGGCTGTGCATGATTGTAAGGTGGACGAGTACATAGTCATTCTTCTTGCTCACCATAAACAATAACAGTAAGATGATCAGTCACATAGGGTTTATGTAAGTGACCGCATCCATGATCACATTTGTTCTCACAGCAGATGAGATCCCTCAGTGCCTGGGAGGGAAAGTGAGGCTCAAAGCAGGGAAGATACCACTTATTGTCACAGAACAAGGGCAGTAGCTTCAGCAGGAGTGGCTCCTCCAATCTGTGATGATGAGGACTCAGCTGATTCTGTTTCTCATCGGTAGCATGGGTTTCACATCCTACTGCACAGCGTAGTTGGGGATTGAACGAGAGGATATTTGTGAAGTCAGTGGCCCAAGCAGGTGCTCAAGAGATGGTAACTGCTGGCCCTGTCCCTTCTCGCTGGGACAAGCCTGAGGCCGG
Organism: Homo sapiens; assembly: GCF_000001405.40. NCBI lineage: Eukaryota > Metazoa > Chordata > Mammalia > Primates > Hominidae > Homo > Homo sapiens. Next base: position 53,518,867 of record NC_000001.11, read on the forward strand.
CATCTGGGAGAACAGGCTTGCAGCCTGGACTGGCTGCTGACTTCTCTGGATGACCTTAGGTGATTCCTTCTCCTGCCCAGGCCTGAGTCTTCCCAAGGTAAAACTGACGGGGTAGGTACAAGACCTTTGCCCTGGGGGCAGCACTGCTCCTCCACAACAGCTTTCTTTCTGGCTGAATCAGGAAGCAGCTTCCAAGGCCTTCTCGACACAGAGCTCCAAGTAGTCACTGTCATGACCATTTGTTAGGAGCTGGCACTTGAGATACCTTCGTCCCTGGGTTGGATGAGCCCCCCGGTCCCTTCCAGCCCTGCCATTTTAGCAATTCTGACCCTATGAGAAGCAGCCACACAGAGGGGTCCTCTAGCTAGACGTGAGGAGGGTGCAGACCCTCCCCCAGGCATCCATCCGCCTGTGTCCTCGCCCTTGTGGACCTGCCTGAGCACAAACCCCTGGAAAGGGGGACCCATGAGAAAGGCTAAAAGGCTTTTCTTCCTGAGGCTGTTTGGCAAGTGCTTTGATATATTTTTAAATCTGTTGCTACTTCAACATTGAGGGGAAAGAATAAAAAATTAGAAAACAAAAAATGTTGAAAATGGTTGGAGTAATTCAAGAAATCCCAGAGGGTGGGCAGAAAGTCTGTTCTGATACTGTGGTTTCTTTAGGGGAGTCGGGGGTAGAGCGCAAGGACTGTCAGCTGGAATCCAAAGGCCACGCTGCCCTTATCTGGGCTGGATGCCTAAGCCACAAAGCCAGGAATTCCTGCTGCGGCCTGAGACCTGCCCCGTGGCCCACGGCTGCTGGGAGGGACAGACAAGCCACCTCAGCTGGACCAAAGGCCCTTAGCATCTGGTTGGAGGGGCCCGCAGAGTCCCAGGGGCTCTGGGGGCCCCATCTCTGGGCCACAGAGTTTAGCGATGAGCTGGAAGTGATCTGGGCTAAGTTCCTATCCTCTCAGAGCCTCAGTTTTCTCCTCTGGAGCAGGAGTCAAGGCCAGGAGCAGAATGGGCTCTTCTTGAAGACGGTTCCTCCCTGCGGATGATCCTGGCAGCATGGGCCATCACCAAGGGCACCAGAGCCTCTCTTGCTGATGCTTGGGGCAGGGCCATGGGTTCCCCCAGCCCAGCTCTGCATGTCCCCATCCTGGGTGCTGGTGACTCCAGAATGAGGCAGACCCTGAGCCTCCCTTGAGGAACTCACAGTCTGGTGGGGGAGACAGATGGGCAGATGGGAAGTAGAGTGACAGCTCAGAGTGCTCAGCACTGGGGCAGAGCGAAGCCCAGAGGAAGACTTCCTGGAGGAGGGGACAAGGAGGTGGGTCCTGAAGGAAGGGCAGGAGCTACCGTCATGAAGGGTAGGAGAAGAGGGCTGGCTGGGTGTGGACAGTGTCCGGGGGTCGGGGGGAGCAGGAGCAGAGAGTGTTCAGGGAACTGCATCCAACATGCCAAGGAGGAGGCAAGAGCTGCCAGGAGGACCCAGGCCCCATACACCTTGAAGGCCAGGCTGAGACGGGTGAGGGCTTCATGCCCTGAGCAATGGGGAGCCACAGAATAATGTGAAGGAAACGTCCACCTAGTTAGACGAGCTGCAGGGAGAAGATGGATTGGAAGTAGGGAACCAGAGGCAGAGGCAACCAAGTCCAGATGAGTGAGTGCCTGCAACATGTCATGCCCATGTGGGCGGCCCACTGAGCATCACTTGTCCTTGACTGTGGGCAGAGAAAGGCCCCTCCTGGGCTACGCCCCTGGCCCTGCCTCCCCGCACACGTACCTGGGAGCAGCTCCTGGCCCAGGCCACAGCCACCCTTGCCGTCGCTGGCAGCCAGCTGTGTGGACGTGTGGAGCTGCTGCAGGACCAGACACTCGGTCAGGACGTCGGCCTCGGTGTCAGGGCCCGCATGCAGCTGGGGAGCAAGCAGAGGGAAAGGAGGTGTTAGTGTGAGACCCCTGCCCACCAGCAACCCTCACGTTAGGGGACAGGGCAGAAAGGACTGCAGCCCCAGGGCAAGACCCTTCCCTTCACTGTGCCTCAGTTCCCCATCTGTGAAATGGGCTGACTGTGTACATCGTGAAGATGTTGTTAGTCCAGGTCCTTTGAGAAGCAGATGCCAAGATGGGATTCAACATGCAAGGATTTAAATGGGAGACGTGCCATCTGTGAACTAGATGGGCTGGGAGAGCCCAAGGACTGAGAGAAGGAGGCAGGGAGAAGGGGTCAAGCGGGAGCCTCCGGGACAGGGACTCAGGGAGTCCTCAGCAGCCAATGTCTGCTGGATGTCAGGGAGTCCAGTGCCTCCTAGGAAGACTCTGCCTCAGTGTCCCTGCTGGGCCTGCCACACTCAGTCATTGCTGGGAGCAACCTGTGGGAGGTGTGGTCTCCGATGGGTAGCTGAGTTCTGCAGGTGCGTTCTGTGCAGCCGCACCGGTGAATGGACGCGGTAGGAATAAAGCGCAATAGGTGTGCCGTCAGCCTCCCCCAACCCCCCACCCAGCTCTTTCTTTCTTCCTTCTTGGTACAAGGTTCAGTGGAAATAGTTCAGGGCTAGGGATGAAGAGCTGGGCTCGGATCCCATCCTACCTCTTCTTACTCCCTGTGTAATGCTGGACAAATAACATAACCTCTCTGGGTCTTGCCTACCCAGCCTGTAATAAGCAGCAACAGTCACGCCTCACCCCAGGCTGCCATGAGGAGTAATGACACAGAGTGACGATGGCTGGGGGCATGCTTTGGAAGTGCTGTAGTAGGGGTGGCAGAGCTCCAGCTGGCCGAGCCCCATCTGGTCACCCCATCATGGGCACGATGGATCAGTATATAGACTTGAGGTCCCTTGGCTAAGGGTGAGCCTGGGCTGGGGTGCACCCAGTAACCCAAGCAAATCTTTGGCCAACAACCCTTGGCTGTCCCCAGACAGTCACCTCAGAACATCTTCCAGAGCCAGGATGGGAACAGGGTGAGGCCTTCAGGACACTGGATGATGACTGGGGCAGGCACCTGGGAAGGGCCCCTTCTCTCAGGGAAATCCCAAAGCTTGGCTCAGCCAAATGCTCATCTTCCCCAGGACAAAACAGACCCAGAGAGGGTGAGAGCCCTGCCCCACATCACACAGCAGCTGAGAGTCAGCCCTGAGGGCTTTTCTGCCCTCCTAAGACAGCAGGGCCAGGCCCAGGCTTGGAGAAGGCAAGCCCAGCCTCGAGATGGGCTCTTGGCTCCCTGACCCAGCAGCTGTTTTCCATGTAAATTAAGTTTCTGGCAAAAGAGAGCCAAGGCATGTTCTTGTAGACCGCAATGTCGATCGGATTAGGAGCAGCAGGAGAGGAGAATTAAGGAAGAAAAGCATTTCTAATTTTCTCTGAAACGCGGCAGGGCTGCCAAGGACTTGTCATAATACAAGGGTCGCTTTACCCAGAAAGATACATCATCCCTGATGGCTCTTAATGGATGCTTATTGTTGGGAAGTTTGCAGATCTGTGGCCCCAAGTCCCCGGGGGCTCAGTGCGAGCCAAGCATGGGGCCTGGGAAAGCCAGGACAGGATTCTGGTCCTCAGGCACTGGTCCGCTTGGGACAGAAGCCTCCCTGGTGTGGAGCTCCAGTCTGCTAGAGCCTGGGCCATTCCCTGTCCCCACTCAGGCCCTCAACCTGAGAGCAGTGAACGGAGCTCAGGCCCTGGAAGCAGACAGGTCTGGGATGGACCCTGGCTCTGGCACTTCTGGGGTGCATGATGCTGGGCTGGTTTGTTAACTCTCTGAGCCTTAGTTTCTCCATCTCTAAAATGAGTGTTTCATGACTCTAATCCCCACATTTTGGGAGGCCAAGGTGGAAGGATTACTTGAAGTCAGGAGTTTGAAACCAGCCTGGACAACAAAGTGAAACCTCTATCTCTACAAAAAAAATATATTAAAAAAAAGCCAGGAGCAGTAAGCATGCCTGTAGTCCCAGCTACTCAGGAGGCTGAGGCAGGAGGATCACTTGAGCCCAGGAGTTGGAGGCTGCCATGAGCCATGATCGTGCCACTGTATTCCAGCCTGGGTGACAGAGTGAGACTTTGTTTCTAAAAATAAAATAAAATGGGAATTACAGTGCCCACACCTACGGTTGTAGTTTCTTTTTCTTTTCTTTTCTTTCTTTTTTTTTTTTTTTTTTTGAGACAGGGTCTTGCTCTGTCACTCAGGCTGGTGTGCAGTCCAACTCCTGGGCTCAAATGATCCTCCCACCTCAGCCTTCCGAGTAGCTGGCGAGCTAGGGCTATAGTGAAGCCTAAATGAGATACAGGATATGAAGCCCCAGGTACAGTGCCTGAGCCTCAGAGGCACCTGGGCTAAAGCACATCCCCTCCCTCCTCAGGGAACATGGAGGTGGTGTTTCACCAGAAAGCTCATGGCGCAGGATTTGACCACGTCCCTCTCTGCTCCACAGCTTCCAATGCTCCCCACTGCCTGCAGGCTGGAGACCAACTTCCCAAGCCTGGCGGTCCCCTCCCATCTTCTTTCCCACTGAGGCCCCTTGCTCCCAGCACCCCATCGCTGTCTCCCTATCCCAGGGCCTGAGGCAGCTGCTTCCTCCAGCCTGCAGGCCTCTGCTGTTTCATTCCTGGCAGTGTCCACAGTTCACAGAACAATGCTTGGAATACAGTAGGTGCTCTGTAAATCTGGTTGAACCAATAAATGCGATCTTCCCACTCTGTCCTCCTCTGTCATGCCAGTGTCCCTGAGTTGGCCCCTGGTGTTTCTTTCACTCCCACACCCTCCCTGGCGCTCAAGGACCCTCACTCCCTGGCCCTGGAGTTCCATGGGAGTGCAGGTGTGAGTTAACCCAGCCAGGTGGGCTCTGCCCCCAGCTGCAGTCCTGTCCCTCCTGCCATGGCCCAGTCCCCTCAGGAACTCACACACGGCTCGTCCAAAACAGCATCCCCAACCCATTTTCTACATGGCCCTCAGGGTTACCTCTCAAGGTGCCATGTCCCTGCTCTGCTTAAGACCTCTCGATGGCACCCACTGTGCCCTGGACATAGCCCTGCCCACACCACCTCTCCTCACTGCGCTGCTTGGCCGCTGATCCTGCACACACTGGGCTTCAGGCTTCAGCCCTCTCAGCGCCAGTCACTCTGGGGAGCGTTCTTCTGAATTCACCGGCCCAACTCTTAGTCCTTCCTCAAGACCAATGAACACATACACCAATTTCTGTTTTGAACTTTTAAATTTGTGCCAGGTACAGTTCTAAACCCTCAGCATAAACCGTCATTTACTCCTGACCGCAGCTGTCTAAAGCAAGTCCTTTTTTGTCCCCTCTGATGGCTGAGGAACCTGAAGCCCAAAGGCACGTACGTGCCTGGGTGCAGAGCCAGCGGAAGCAAGCCCCGCGGGCCCACTCCGCGCTCACACCCCTAAACACTGCACCCATGCCTGACGCCACTTCCTCCACAGACCTTCCTGCTCCCACCCAGAGGGGCTAAGGTCCCCTCATCTGTGCCCTGACTTTTCTCTGCACATCTCTCTCGCCATCTTAATGACATGAGGTAGAATCATCTCTTTGTGTCTGCTGTCGCCTGCCAGGACACTGAAAGCGGGGACGTGCTTTTTCATTTCTGCATCTTCCGTGCCCAGCACAAGGCTGGACATCATGTGTTTACCACACAAGCCGCGGGAGGTGCACAGATGCATGGGGCGAGGAGCTGGTGGGCAGTCTGTGGGTGGTAAAGGGCCAGCTGGGGGTGTGGAAGGAAGGGCTGCGGGTCAGCAGAGACACTAAGGGCAGGTGGGAAGTGGACGGACGGACGAACGGACGAACGGATGGACGAACAGTGGCATACAGGGCGAGTGGGTGGGCAGATGCATGTGTTGAGGGTGGGCACCTGGCCTGATGCGGTGCAGGCGGCTGCGAGGTGGGAGGAGGCCAGATGAGGAGGGCTGGCTTACCTTCTTACGCACCTGCTGCTCTTTGGCTGAATGGGCCTTGACGTGCTTGCGGAGGGAGCTGGGGTCTGTGTAGCGCTTGGAGCAGCCAGGGATCTGACAGGCGTACGGCTTCTGTAACATGGGGGGCACGGGTGGGGTGAGTGAGGCCCATCCCTACGGGACACGCGCCTCCGCGTGACCTGCTGTGGGGAGGTGACCAGGCGAGAGGCTGGCTGCAGGCCAAGAGTACTCTGCCTCAGCCAGCCCGGCCCAGCTGTGGGGAAGGTGCCTGGCCTGGGAGCGGAGCAAGGGGTTTGTGTCTTCATTCCACCACCATCCTGGGACCTCAGGTCAGTTGCCTCTCCTCTCTGAGTCTCACCTTTCTTCTCTGAAAAATGGGGCCATCTGAGGTCTAAGGGTTCTTCCAGGTCAGACCCTGGCTCTGAGCCAAGTCCACCCTTTGGACCCCACAGCTGCAAGTAAGCATTGAGCAGACAGGGAGTGCAGTCAGACAGCTGCTCTGCAGATGGGGAGGAGGAGAGGGGAAGGGGGCACCCACACAGGGCCAGGCTAGGCGGCACTGACCGCACCTTGCAGGTAGGTGCAGAGGCACCGGACTGCTCTTGGGGCCACAAGAAACCAGGTCCTCCTGCCAATAGCTGTGAGAGGCTGGAAGCACGGCTGGATCTGAGAACACAGGGCTGGGGAGGCTGGGGAGGCTGGGGAGTCTGGCGGGGCTGGGGGCTGTGCCCTGTGCATGGGGAGTGGACAAGTCTCTTCCCCTCAGGCCCCCATGGCTCACCCAGAATATAAGAAGTGGACCCCAAATCCATCCCCACTGCCCCTCCTGAATTCCTGCCCAGGCCCCACCCTGCCCTCCAGGCCTCAGGCTCCCCACACACAGCCAGAGGGGAAGGTCTTTCTCACAGACCCGCTCTTGCCTTTGAAACCCCTTGGTGGCTCCCTGGTGCCCTACAGGCCATCTCCCGGCACCGCAGGCCCTACACCTCCCACCACGAGCACCTCCTCAGCTCTCCCGCAGCCACGTCACCTCCTCTCCAAGCTCTCCTCGCATCCTCCACCTCCTCCCCGGGCCAGAACATCCCCCTAAGCGCTGTCCAGCCTATGTGCTGGGTTTGCTCAGTGTCCCTCTTCTCAGCCAGGGAGCGACTTGTCTGATTCATCCTAGGTCTGAGTGACCCAGGGCAGGGGACTCGTGGCTCTAATTGAATCCCAATCTCTCCCAAGGCTTCCACAGGACCCTGCTTGAGGACTCTGGCCGCTGCTGGGGCTTGAAGCTTACAAGGCTTCCCTTTGCGGACACGTCTAGTGCTTCCGCTCTCTTAGAAGCCTCTGCCCTGCTGGGACTGCAGGGGACAGGAGAAGGATTGGAGGAAATGACACCTCTCAGAGTGAGTGCCAGGGACTGCCATGTCCTGCCAGACACACCCACGTGGAACTGCCCCCAGGACCTCAAGGCAGCTTTGCCCCTGCTGGACTAAGGAGAGGCCAGGCCAACCTCAGACCCAGGGAGAGGTACCCATGGCCCTGGGACCTCATGAGGAGGGGAAGCAGAAAGAGACGACCATACCTTGGTGCTGCCATGGAGAGTTGCCAGATTAAAGAAACGGAGGAGAGCAAAAAGAGAGAGACAGCAGTGAGAAGCTTGCCGGGGTTGGCCTGGGAGGGAGAGCGGAGGCCTGCCGCGGATGGCCCCTGCTGCCCCCAGCCCACCGCACCCCAGAGGTAGGCTCCCTCTCTCACACACCATACACACACACACACACACACACACACAAAACCACCACCACCACACACACACACCACACCATACACACCCACGCACGGCACACACACGTGCGTTCACATGTGCCCAGGCACACACACGGCCCTGCCCTGTCCCTGAGCCGGCCCCAGGACTGTCCCTTGGGGATGCTGATACAAATCCACTCGCTTTCGTCTAAAAGCAAACAAGCTGGCTCTGTGTCTGCCGGCACATTCGCCTGGAAACGGGCGGCAAGGCCCATCTCTGTGTTTGTTTTTCCAGGGCCTGACATGTGTAGAACATTCCTCAGGCCCCATTCCCCGTGAGCCTGTGGGAAACCCTGTGGCCGTCCCCAGCCAGCAGCCAAGCTCCGCCTGGAATGGCCATGTGGGCTGCAGCGCCGGGCGGCCTCCCTCTGTCTGTAATGAGGACGCTCCGGGTGAGTCTGCCGTGCGGAGCCCCTGCCCGTCTGCACTTGGAGGCCAGCTCTGCTGGGAGCGCTCCCCTGTGCAGGCCCCGTGCTGAGCACCAGCCATCCGCCATCTCCCTGAGCCCACACCCACCCCATGAGACTCATCCTGCTTTGCAGAAGAAGAAACTGAGACCTACATTTTGCCCAAGATCCCACAGCGGGGAGAGGGAGGGAGCGTGTGCAGGCCTCTGCTAGAATGCCTCCTCTGCTCGGTGGCCTCGAATGGTCCAGTGAAGTGGGCAGGGGAGAGAGAATCATCCCAGTGGGGAAGCTGAGGCCCCATGCAGGACAGCGGCTTATTCGAGTCCGCTCAGGGGATCTGTGCACTCAGGACTCGAGCCCCACACTGAGAGCCTGGGACACGGCAGGATGTGGTCAGTGCCCAATCAGTAAGAGGACAGGCAGGGGAAGGCCGCCCAGTCCATGTGCGGGGCCTCACACCTGCTGCCTCAGCTGACCTCCCTCGCTCTCTGAAGCAGGGGTTTTACCTCTCAGGAGGCCCAGGGAGGCCAGGGGCTTTCCTCAGACCTCCAGGACCAGGAGGCATGGCCACGGTCAGAACCCTGGCCTGGTCCTCTCCAGTCTGTTCTGAGAAACTTTCCCGCCCATGGAGAGAATCCCACATTCTCCAATGCCAGAGGTGAGCTAGGGACATGGCTGGTCCCCTCTGGAAAGCAAGGCCCTGCCCTGTGAGGGGCCTGACCCGAGGGGCCTCTGGGGGCAGGTGCTGGGACAGCAAACTAGCAACACAGAGCTGCCTGCGGTGTTTATGTGGGGAGCTGGATCCGAGTGGGGTGCTGGGCTTGGCGGCTGCACTTCCCAGGCTTCCAGGGGACCTCTTGGGGAGACGAAGGCCTGAGATAAGCCTGCAGGCTCATTCTGGGCCTGGCCTGACCTAGACCTTGGGGTTCTGTTCACACACCAAGTGGGGGCCAGAGGCCTGTTGCTTTGGGGCTGGGTCCAGGAAATGCAGTAAGGAGGGAGGGAGGAAGAAGGAGGGTCAGGGAAGGTGGCCCGAGAGGCACGGGAGGGTAGGGAGAGGGTGCAGGGAGGCCTGGCACTGTCAGCGCTGGCTTGTGGCCTCTGGGAGACATAACTGGGGGTGCTGGGGCACAGAGCGTGCCTCTCAGGACCTGGGCCAGGGTGCCACGGGCCCCTTGGGCTGAAAAGGTGACAAAGGCAGGGAGATCTGCTAGCACCCACTCCTCACTTCATGTCCGTAGCACAGCCTGTGACAATGAAGCTGAGAAGGGGAGGACTGTTGGGTTCAGGTTGGGGATGGGGCCCTTCCTTGCCACCCTCACCCCTCTGCTCTGCTGCATCCCCCAAGATGCCTGCCACATCAGCTCTTCCAGCAGAGAGCACTGGACTTGGAGTGGCCCAGCCCAGGTTTGCATCCCAGCTCTGCCACACACCTGCTGTGGACAGGGCAGATGACTCAGTCTCTTTGAGTCTCAATTTATGAAATGGGGATAATGGGCCCCATCTTGGTTGGTCACCAGGATGAAACTGGGGGCAGTGTGTGTGAGACTGTGGGGCCAGATATACAGAGTGTCCCCCCCAGGGCCTGGCCTGGCCCCAAGAACATTGCTTCCCTGCTGTTTTCTGGGCACTGAATCTTTTCTGGATCTCGGTTTTCCCGGCTCTAAGGTAAATGGCTGGCATCAGAGACCTGCAAGTGCCCTTTCAGCTCTGACCTCTGCTGTCTCATGGCCTCCAACTTACCCTGGAGGGGTCAGCTGCCCTCCTGGGCCCCTGTTTCCTCCTCATCTGTGAACTGGACGGGCTGGGGGGCAGCCACCCAAATCCCCCAGCCTCTGACCCACAGAGTTCCCCAAACACCTGCAGGAAGCATAGAGAAACCAGCCTGGGGCCCGGACATGGCTCTGCTGCAGACCCCAGTCTCCTGCAGCACATGGGGGCTGGGGTCCTCCTCAGGCACGTGCCCCTCACCCAGGGCCTAGTGTAAGGCCCTGGTCTGAGTCAGCTCTGCCACCGTCCAGCTGTGCGATGGTGAGCAGGCACTGGCCTCAGGTGTCCCACTTCCCTAATCTGTCAAATGGCTTCGTGACTGCCCCTGCCCAGAGCACAGGGTCTGTATGAGATCCTGAGGGGTGAAGTTTTAGAAAGCGCTCTATTAACGGCACATGGAGGGCTGCCTGGGCAGACATTGGAATAAAGCTGCTGTTACCTATGCCTGGTGCAAACAAGGGAAGGAAGGTGGGAAGGGAGCCAGTATCTGGAGGCCTGGGTCACCTGCAGGAGCCTGGAGTCTTAGGCACTGCCCACCTCCGCTCCTCACCTGCAGGGCTCAACGGACAAAAGACCACCCTGGAGAGCCTCTGACCTGTGTCTACGGAGGGGGCAGGAAGAGCAGGGAGCAATCTGCTCTGGCGTGGCTGACAGGTTCTGGGGAGGGGACACAGGAAGGCGAATGTGCTCTCTCCATGAGGCTGTGCACGGCTCTGGTGCCCAGGCTGGTACCCACAGGCCAAAGCATTGCTTCTTAACTGGGGCAGGTTTGCCTCCCCTCACCCCCGGGGACATTTGGCATCAGAGAGTTTTGGTTGTTGCGACTGGGAGTGGGAACATTGCCTCCTATCTAGTGGAGAGAGGCCAGGGATAACTGCTAAACATTCTAGAATGCAGAGGACACCATCCGACCCACTGCCCTGCCAAGCATCTCCTGCCCCAAACATCGGTGGGGCTACAGGGTAAGGCAGGGGCTCTGCACTGAATGAGTGGCAGGTGTGTGGCCATCCTCCACCCCGCCCTGGGCCTCTGCCTGTTGGGCCTACCGTGTCTAGGTGGGTGCGCTGGTGCTTGGCGCGGTCGCTGGAGTTGCTGAAGGCCTTCTGGCAACCCGGGTGCTGGCACAGGTACGGCTTCTCGCCCGTGTGGCTCCTCAGGTGGATCTTGAGGTTCTCCAGCCGTGAGAAGGCCTTGCTGCAGCCTTCAAACTGCAGGAGAGGCTGGTGAGGGGAACTCCCAGCCCGGTGGGCACCCCAACCCTGCATGGAAACTAACCCCCCAGGCCTGCCTGGCCCCAGCACCCCTGCCCCTCCCATCCTGCTGGAGCCTCTGAGAGCTCTGGATCAGCTCCCCATGAAGTGCTCAGGGCCCAGGCCTTATCTGGAAAGGCCTGGTGAGTCCAGAAAAATAGCACCCTGACTTAGAAATAGGGCGTGAGGGCTGGAGAAGAAAGTGGCCTTTCCAGTTCTGGACCCGAAAGGCTCCCCTCCCCAGGGCCATCTGGAAACGAGGCACTTGCCCTGACCACAGCACAGCCCCGAATCAGGGCAGGGGTGTGTCCCAGCACAGAGAGCTGAAATAGGGAAGGACCCACAGCCTGGATCTGAACTGGGCTCTGTCCCAGAGAGGCTTTGGGCAGTGCTCTTGACCCCTCTGCGCCTTGTTTCCTTGTTTTCAAGCTTGAGACTGTGTGGCCACCACTCAAGGCTGACATGAGGGCCCCAGGGGGTAGGACATTGAATGTCATGGGGTTTGTCCGTCTGGAGCACAGAGTTGATGCTAACTGCTGTCAAAACAAGAGCCACGTTTGTAAACTGAAGGGCCCTTCACAGATCCTGTGGCTCTGTGACCATATACAGCCCTCCACACCTCTCTTTAGGCCCACCCAATGCCCTAGATCAACATCAGGGGTTGGCCAGACAATTTCCAGCCTTTGTTCATTCAAGTCACTCAGCAAGGAGTGTCCCCTCTTTCACAGCCACCCACCAACCTCCCTCAGCCCTCACAGCCACCCACCAACCTCCCTCAGCCTTCAAAGTCAGCTCAAATGCTGCCTAGCGGAAGCAGCAGCCTCTCCTCCTTCAGTGTGATGAGCTGCTCCTTCCGACTTCTCCCCATCTGTCCCTGTCCCAGCCAGGCTGATGTTCTGGCCATGTGCTTGCAAGGGTGGGAGGAGGGGACCAGCGCTGACGGGCGCCTGCTACATCCAGGTGTGGTGCTGGGTGTTGGACACACAACAGCTGTGAAGTATACGGCATTAATGTCCCCATCTCAGAGATGGAGGCTCCATGTGGTCAAGTGACCTGCCCAAGGTCACAGGGCTGTGACATGGCAATGACAGGACTCAGGCCAAGTCTGATGCCAAAGGCCAGGTGGCTCTGCTATGCCTGCTGCCTTCCTAGGGCAGGTGACCCTTGAGGAGGAAGGGACCAGAGGAGGCTGGCCCCCTCTCATGAGCCATTGATTTCATCCTCCATGTCCAGGGCTGAACAGCCAACCATGAGCACCTAACCCAGATTAGGGCCCATGGGACCCTGCCCCTCTGACCCAGGGGCCAGCATGGGCTCCCAGCAGCAGGTGGCCAAGGATGAGCTGGTAGCAGCCGTGTTACCCGAGGACTGGCGCTCCCAAAGCCTGCTCTTCACATCCTTTCTCTGGGGCTCACCTGCGGGGAGTAGGGGGAGGAGCTGGTTGGGTGCCTGGAGAGGACTGTGGGCTCATTTCAGACCCTGTGATCCACCTGGCTGATTTTCATGGCCTTGGCTCAAGGCTGTTCAGCACATTGAGTAATTTCTGGTGCGAGGCTGTTCACTGGGACAGACTGGCTCCAGTCTGCGGTGAGTGCCAAGCTGCAGAGAGAACTCAGACATGGGTCCTGCCCTCTAGGTGTAGAGAGCCCATGTGGGAGATGCACACACGCACACCACCATAAAGCGACGTGGTTGAGATGTCACAGAGGGAGACACAGGGGCTGTGGCCACACAGAGGAGATGCCTGAGGCAGCCTGTGGGCCGCGAGCTGCTTCCACGGGCTTGATGACTGTAGCGAGCTTAGACAGACATGTAGCAGTGTGGAGACACAGGCAGGCAATTCCCCCAACACTGATGCATTCACCTCATTCTGTCTCTGGCCCTGCCCGAGCCCTGAACTGCAACCAACAGATCCAAAGAAGATAGTGGGGTGACGCACACTGAAGGCCAAGGAAGGGCAGGCACCAAAGCATGAAAAAGGCACAGATTCCCTGTGAAGGCCCCTGAGTGGTTGATGTGGGGTTCATTACGCTGGGGGTGGGCTGGGCTCTACTGGGCAAGGAGTCTGCAGGGAGCTCAAAGGCCAGATAGCGGGGACTCAAATGCTGGGCCAGTGAGCCTGGACTCCACCTTGGGGAAAGTGGAGACACTTCTCCTAAAGAAGGGAAAGGACAGGCTCAGATATGTGCCCTAGGAAGACCTCTCTGGCTGCTGGTGACAAGTGGGGACCGGGGGAGGAGACAGGAAGATGGCAATTGTAGCAGTTCCAGAGGAGGGTCACCAACGCCCCATCCAGGGCAGAGGTGGCAGATGGAGCACAGGCCAGGGCAGAGCTGCTCAGACAGATATGAGAGACACAAGAGACACGAGAGACAATGATGGTTCCGGGACAGCTCCCTCTGCGCCTGTCCCCTGGAAGCCCAGTCACAACTTGGGGCCGTGCTCTGCTGGGGCGGGTCCAAGGCGAGCCACCCACAGCTGGGTTTTAGAAGCTGTTCTGCTTCCTACTTCCAGATGTTGTGCCTTTTTCATGCATCCAAACCAGGAGGAAATCCTGTTTGGGCAGTAAATAGGCTGCAAGCCACCTCCCTTGCTCGCCTGCAATGGCCTTGTGCCAAGTTCACCCCAACGTGAGATGGGGGAGCCCGGGCTGGAGAGTGGGGCTTCCTCTCAGCATCCTTTGTTCCCCTCTGGCCCATGCAGGGCAGGGAGGTATCTACAGCAGAGGACAATAACTCCTCCAGGCTTCGTCATTTTCCTGACTGTGGGAGAGTGCTGGAAGGTGGACCATGATCGATACATCATCTTCTCCCCGAGGTCTGTGTATTCCTGCCTTGGCCAACCCTCTGCTCAGCACAGTTGCTCTGTCTCTATTCGGACTGTCCCCCTCCTGGGACTCCTTCCCTTCCAACTCTCTGACCATCTAATTCATACGTTTTTCAAACACAGGATCTGCAGCTTGGTGTTCATGGTCTTCCAACATGGACCCAACTGCCTCTCCCATGCAGACGCTCCACGCGTGATCTGCAGGAGTGAGACTGTGTCTGAACAGTCCTGAATTCTGTTAGGAATTTCCATGCCCTCAGGCCTTTACTTCAGTTGTTCCCTAGGCCTGGAATGCCTTTCCTTTATTTGCTCTTTTAGCAAACATCTACTCCTGTTGCTTAAGCACTCTCTCTCAGAAGCCTGCCTCAAACTTCCCCACCCCATCCTCTGTGACACCCATGAGCTTGTGGGGTAGGTTTTCCCTGCACAGCCATGGCCTTCTCCCCATGCCTCCAGGCTGAGAGTTTGAGAGTTCCTTGAGAGCAGGGCTGGCATCTCAATCATGGGGCAAAGGGTGGGACAGAAGCATGATATGGGGGTTGCTGGGCATGCAGTCCACGCACCCCTGTGAGTACACCCCCTTACCCCAGTGTGCAGAAAGGTACCCCGATAAGTGCGTGTGCCCTGATGCCTGTGCTGTGCCCATGTATGTTGGCCCAGCCTTGTTCTGCTCCCCGCCCCCTGGAACTTTCCAGAGCTGAGCCACAGGCTGGGGTATAATGAGCAGCTGGCTGGGATGCCCTGATGAGAGTGGCCCGTCCCTCCAGGTGGAAACAGAGGTACCAGCAGACGAAGGGGCACTGCCCCATCAGGACTGGTCTGGGATGAGGATGCTGCAGGCACCCCTGGCAGAGCCAGAGTCATGCCCCATCAGGACCAGCATCCCAGACACGCCAGGGGCCTTGAGGGCCTATGGGATCTGCCTGCAGCTGGCTGCCAAGGTCCCTGTGGTCCTTCCTAGTCAACAACTGCACAGATGGGGACAACAGAGGCACAGAAAGAGGGATGAGAGCGACCATCAGTTCAGCACCTATTGTGTGCTTGGTTCTGCTGGGCCTGGTGCTGTCACAAATGTGGCACCTTATCTTCTTCACTGCCCAGTAGGCAAGTATTACTGTCTCCACTGACAGATGGGGAGCTGATGCTCAGGGTGCAGCCAGCACAGGGGTTACACACACGGACCCTGGTGTAGACCCAGCCCAGGGGGAGCTCTCTGGGTCCCGGGAGCAGCCTCCAATGAGTGCGAGGTAGCCTTTGGGGTGGGTGTGGCTTGAAGGGCCCCCATCCATAGGCTGTGTAGGGCTGGGAGGGCTGCAGGGAGGGAACCCCCACCATTGGGTTGTGGGGGCACAGATGCTGCAGAATGGATGCATGGGGCTTGTGAGACCAGAAATGCAGCCATCTAGCACGTCCCTGGCTTCGACCTTGGTTTCTCAGGTGGAGGGAGGACTTACCTTCAGGTAATGGCACCACGACCCGAGGGCATCGTAATGATTCCATGGGGCCTGCACCACAGGGAGTGCCACTGGGGCGGGGCCTTCCTGACATCCCGGTCGCCTCAGGCTCTATGGTACATTTGTCCTGGACAGACACCTGCTTCCTGCTGCCAGTGTCCAAGGGTACAGGCTGGCAGAGCAGACCCTGGACCCCCACTGCAAGGGCTGAGTGCCTCTATGTGGGGGGTTCAGAGAGGGAGATTGTTCCCCCTGTGCCAGGGGCACTGAGCCTGAGCTATGCCATAGGCAGAACTGCCATCTCTCCTGAGAAAGAAGTGCCTGCAACACAAGGTAAGCCCTGTGGCCTGAAAGCCAGCTGTGCACCCCATCCCTCCACCCCCACCTGACCACCCACCCCATCCCTGCTACTGTGCACCCCCCATCCTTCCACTCACGCACTTCTGCGAGTCACTCACTCATCCTCTCCTCTTTGAGCACACAGGTTCTTATCCTCCTGCCTCACTCAGCTGCCCCTCTGTGTGCCTGGCAGTGTGCTCTGAGCTGAGACCCAAGGGCGTCAAAGACCCATAGCTCCAAACACACTGGAACTTGTTCAGAGCCCTAGGAAGGGGCTGACCCGGGGGCTTCTGGCTGGCAGAGGCTGGGGAGCTACAAAAGCCTTCACAGAGGAGCTCAGCCCTGACACCCAGGCAGGGGCTAGAAACACAGAGCCAGGAAAAGCATTCCAGGGAGAGGGCAAAGCATGAACAAAAGCAGGGAGGCTGGAAGAGGTGGGATATGTTCTGGAAACAGCTAAGGATCTATTGAGCAGAGAAGGAAGGGAAGCAGGGAGAGGAGAGGTGAAAGTAGAAATGGGAGTTTTGGGGGCTCCCTTCATTCAAACACATGGGGTAGTGGTTCCTTCTGCAGCAGGCAAATTTGGGGATTTTTGATTCTAAAGACTTCACAGAAGCCACTCCATGCAAGGACTGATGTGGCACAGGCTCTTCACTTGAGGGACTCTGGTGCGACTTCTGCTGGCTGGACCACCCCAGGTCACGCAGGGCTGATGCCCTGGGTCTGAGCTGTCACTGTTTCTTCCATCTACCTTTACTAAGCACCTACCGTGAGTCCAGGCACTGGGCTGGACCGGTGCAGGAGGGTGCGACATGGGCCCCTAAGCCTCAAGCACATATGGCCCTGAGTTGCTGGCACATGGCCAGCCCACCTTGGGGCCTCTCAGTCCCTCATGGTGGATGGCTGGGTGGGTATGGGGCCCCTGACCTCCCACCTTCTACCTGGATGCTTGAGCCAGGAACATGTTCCCTCCTCTCTGGGCCCTGCATCCAACTAGTCACCAGCCCAGGAAATGCCACCTTGTAATCACCTTCCAGGTCTGCCCCCTTCTCTTCTTATCCACCCACTGCCCTAATCCACACCCCAGCATCACTTACCTGGGTGACTGCACAGGTGCCATCCTGCCTCCCTCCTGCCTTTCCCAACCCATTTCCACGAGCTATCTGAAAAGAAGACTTAAGCCCATAGCTCTGTGTCCCTCCCTGCTCAAACCCTGCATGGTTCCCCAGTGCCTCAACATGTACAGATCCTCACCCTGGCATTCTGGCCAGCATGATCTGGTCCCTTGGTGCTGGCTTGGTGGCATCTGTACCCTCCAACCCCCGTACCCACACCAATGCATTCCAGCTTCAGATCAGCCTGGGTGCAAAGCTGGCCTCCACGCTTCCCGACCCGATGAATCAGGGTGAGCTCATTTCACTTGTCAGAGACCAGATACCTCAGATGTAAGAAGGGGCACACTGTGGGGGCTCTGTGAACCACTGTGTGCAGAGGCATCAGCGCTCTGACGCCATCTGTCCATGCAGAGAATGATACAGGCACCTTCTGTCGAGGGTGGATTTGAGACACACTGGCTCAAATAACCAAAAACACAACAGACTGATCTGGCTAGAAGGAAGGGCTCCCACACCATGGGAACAGAGAAGGTGATACTGAGGGCAGGGGGTACCCAGGATGGGGAGAAGGAAAAGCAGGCATGTATAACAATCTTGAAAAATGTAAGAATAGGTGGTTAGGTTTTTCTTATTTACCCCAAAATACACAAACAGTAAAACATATTTGAAGATGAAGTTGGGGTGAATTCAGAATGACAGTAGTGACTGGGTGACACTTTCTCTGACACCTACCGTAGGCCAAGTGCTGTGTGTGTTTCATTTAATTCAGACAACGTTCCCCGCTGAGGAAGCTACTTCCCAGCCCACTCTGCAGAATAAGAAACTGAGGCTCAGAAGGGTGATGTCACTGGCTCCAGGTCACACAGCCAGTCAGTGACGGAGCAGGAATCTGACCTTGGGTCTGGCTGATGAGTCTATATGTGTCCCTAACCACTCTGGCCACTGCCTCAGGGACTCCTACCTAAAGCACCAAAAGACAAGTTCTCTCTCAGGAGCTAGTACTGTCATTTCAAACCAGGCGTCACAGGTTCCATTCCTGGGGCAAGGCCAGGCCTGGGCCCAGCCCCAGAGCTGACGCTGGGAAGGGAGGATGCCCACAGTGGATGCCTCCATGCAGAAAGGAAAACCAGGTGGCACAGTGGAGAAGAAAGTACCAGCTGATCCACAGAACAGCCTTGAAAGGCCCAATTCCCACATGTGGGGTGTGTTACAGCAGAAGATTAAAAAAACGGGGAAAATACCCCGGGAACCGTGAAGCCCCAGACCATCTGGAGTTTTATAGTGACAGGCAGGGGAAAATCAGAACCTAATTGAAAAATGTCCACTGCAATCCATTACTGCTGCGTGCCGCTCACAGAGCAGAGGGCAGGAGATGAAAGACAGAGGGGAGCCATCCCAGGAGCCAGGCAGGGGGTGGCATCCTCGCCTCTGGGCCAAGCCCAGGGACCCCTCAAGCTCTGGCTTGGGGAGGGGGAGGGCTGAAGCCCAAGATCCGCTGGGGGCTGGCTCAGACGTTCAAGTTGCAGGGTGGGTCCACCTTCCTCAGCAAGCCACACTCAGAGCCTTTTATGCATCTGTGGACGGGCTAAGAGCATGCAGGGGAGCCCCAGCACAGTGCCTGGCGTGCCGCTGGCACTAGGTGATGGCTCTTCTCTCCCTCTGGCTCCTGGGGAAGAACCAAGGGCCCTGTTTCACATGTGAGTTGGTGACACCATGCCGCAAACCAAAGTGCTGCAAATCAAGTCACGCAAACAGAGGTTTGTGCTGGGGATCCACCACCGGGAGCCTGAACCTGGGCTAGTCACGCCTCATTTCTGTCCTCGTTTTTCTCTTCTCTAAAATGGGGCCACCACAAACGGCTGGTAGAAGTAAATAAAAGAATATGCCCAGTGTAGGAACTGGCACATAGCTGGTGCCTAATGAATGTCAAGTTTCCTGCCTGCGGCTGGCATGGCCCAAAAAGGAGGCAGGGTTCAGTTTCTCATGCTCTAACTAAGAATCTGGACACAGAGTGAAGAGGAGGTTTGGGGGAACAGGGCATGGCACGGGGGCAGGGGAGGAAATGCCTTCAGTTTTAGCATTTGCCAGTGACTTGCTTCTAAATAAACACATTTCTGGTTTAAGGGTAAAATATATTGGGTTACAAAAGTCTGGCAGGCCATTCAGGGATCAACTTCTCATTTTTGTACGAACTTTTAAGTTACTTTACAACAATGATGTGGATGGGAGAAATGCAATGCCAGCTCCTTCTCCAACATGTCAAATAATCCTGCGTTTGGCCAGCTTTAAAGGCCAGCAAGCTGGGCACTGAGGGCCGCTCCTCGCTCCTGCACTCTGGGAGGGGCCGCTGGCTGGCCTGAGGTTACTGTCCTGTGCTCCCCCGTGGGGCTCCTTGAGGGTCTCCTCAGAGTTTGGGGCTTCGCCAGTCCTCTGTGGGGAGGTTGAGGCAAGAATGGAACGGACAGACGGGAGGAGGGTCCTGGGGGTGAGGCTGGAGGGCACTGACCCGGGCTCTTTGATTTGGACCGTGAGGCTCTCGAGGGTCTGGTGTTTGGGGATGCAGTGCCACCTGCATACATGAATGGAAAGTGGGGCATGTGCGGGGACTGAGCAGAACAGCAGCTATCACATTGACCATGTGCCTAGGACTGGGCCAAGCTCTCCCTAAACACCATCTCACTAATCCTGCAACCCCTATTGTTACAGAGGTGGAAACTGAGTTTAGGTGAAGTGCCAGAGTCCCAGCGCTCACTCATGGGATGGAGCCTGGGTTCACCTCCAGTGCCGAGGTCTGTGCCCTGGGCACACTCTGGTCCCAGGTAGCCATGATCGAGCACTGCCATGAGAGGCAAGACCATCTGCTCACTGGGCCTTCATAAGCAGCTGGCAGGCCAGGGAGGGCTGGGGGCACACAGTGAGGCAAGGGAGAACAGGACAGAGGGACCATACACCTCCTCTGGGAGCCCATGCGGGTGGGCCTGTCCTTGGGAGGAGGATCTCAAGGCTGAGGGGGTGGGGGCTGCAGACACCCTGACCCTTCCTCACCAGGAACACACTGACAGCTCTGGGCTGGGCTCTTCTCTGGCAAAAGTTCCTGTCTGGGCAAGAAATGGGTTCCTGTCCCCAGCAGTGCAGTTGAGGCATCTCCTGGAAAGGTGGCCGGCCAGCAAGGATCAAGAGAGTCACCCTTCCAGGGCATGTGGAACCCCCGAAAGTAGGAGGTGCAGGAGGGGCTGAGTCAGCTTCTCTTGGGCCCAAGTGGACAGGTGGGATCCAGGGGCTCTCCCAGTGCAGAGCTGTGGCTAGACATCGTCTGGAATGAGGAAAGAGGCTCTGCCAGGGGCCAGGGCTCCGCAGAGAGCACACAGCATAGAATGGCTGACACATGTACACCAAGCCACCAGCCACAGGCCCAGAAACGTGGACACTCACACACTCTGATGTGAACACCTCTCCCTCCAACCAAGCCACACGTCGGAGACAGCCCCAACACACACCAACACACACACATGGATTCACACACACACACACACCAAGACCCAGAAACTCCCTCACACACACACACACACACTACACCTAAACACACACACCCCAATTCACCCACACATACCATATCCCCACATATATACCACATAACACACCCACACATATCATACCACACACACACTCCACAGCACATGAATGCACACCCCACACACACACCATACCACACATCACAGCACACCCCCAATACATACACATCATACCTCCCACACACACGTACCACACCCCCAACATACACACACCACACCACACACACACATACCACACGGTATACACCCCCCCACACACACTACACATCATACACATAAACTGTGTTTACACCCCATGACTCATATCACAAAAACACACAGGCCAGGACACACATGTTCACACATATACCCAAAGACGTCCAAGCCCCAGACCTGCCACATTCACAAACACACTAACCCCCACCCACCAGCCACACCGACACACTGCCCCACGCATAGCACAGCACACGTGGAAACTGGCCACCTGGAACATGGATGTGCGTGTGGGGTTCACTGAGGGGCTGGGTCCACTGCGCCTCCTGACCTCTGAGTGGTGGCTGGCCTGGCCTGGCCTTGGGGACAGCATGCATAGCCTGAGAGATCTCCACTGACCTCTCTAGCCCAATGTCTACTTCCCTCCCCACGCTGCAGCCACAGGCCACACATTGCCGCCTCCACGCCTTTGCCCATGCGGTGTCCTCTGCTCAAGGTGCCCCTGTTCACTGGCCAGTCCTCCTTGTCACTCTAGGCTTGGCTCAAGCCTGAGGCCTTCCCAGTTCTCTCACTGTCATCCCGATGCTGCGGCCAGGACTGCCGGTCCCTTACCACTCTCCTACCATTCAAGCATCACACACTCCTCTCAGAGCTCGGCCCTGGGAGGGAGAGAGGCAGACATAAGACCCCAGCGGTGAGCCTCGCACAGCCTGCCCCGCCCACACAGCCAAGCGGAGAGGAGCATGTTCCCATTTGCTGGGGGATTCTTTTTAGGTGGTGCAGTGCCTCACCATAAGCCCTGGGGGTGAGGCTGTGAGCGCTGCTTCAGGAGGAAGAAGAGGGCCACAGTGAATAAAACGGTCTCTCCAGGCCTCCAGCCTCAACCCTCTCTGCAAACAAACTCGCCCCACGGCCTCAGCAGGGGTCTCCCTCCCCCAGGGATGGCCTGGGGCTCAGGTGCTTCCTCCTCTTCCTGTGAGCCTCAGTGTTCTACTTGCAAATGGGGTGTCCTCCTGCGGTGGACATCAGGGTGTGGCCTTGGTACTGGGCACAGGACAGGTGCTCAGTAACATTAGTCCCCTTTTGGGATCCTCTCCCAAGTTCCAAGAAGAAATAGCAGGAGAGGGGTGGTGAGCAACACCTGGGTCTGAGATCCAAGTCCAGCCCTGGCTCTGCGTGACCCCGGCCCAGCCACCTCCCTTTCCTGAGCTTCACCCCGAGCTGCCTGCCCACCAGGGACCGCCTGCCCAGGATGGGGCAGTGGGGCGATGGTACAGGTGACAGACGCATCCATGCCCAGCACTGTACAACATACATCTGGGGCTGCCTGGGGAGGGCGGAGGCCAGAGATTCTCCACCCACTGCCTGAAAGAAAACCCAGTGTCAGGTCACCAGAATTATCACACACGTACCACAGGCAAAGCTCCCTGTCTTGAGTGGGTGGAAAGAACCTGCCAGT
Source organism: Homo sapiens (assembly GCF_000001405.40). Classification (NCBI taxonomy): domain Eukaryota; kingdom Metazoa; phylum Chordata; class Mammalia; order Primates; family Hominidae; genus Homo; species Homo sapiens. The sequence continues at coordinate 53,540,952 of NC_000001.11, forward strand.
GTGCACCTGAGGCTCAGATCCCACCAGAAATGTCCCGTGAGGCCTGAGACCTCCATCTTGCGAGGGGGCAGTGTTCAGCACCAGGCCAGTGAAGAGTGTGGGGGTGGGAGCTGGGCTGGGAAGATCCACTGGTGTGTAGCTCCTGGAGCCACAGTGACCTGAGAGAGTTGGGGGTGGGAGGCCACCAAGAGGACTCTGCTTAGTAGCAGGATAAGCTCTACCGGGAGAAATGGTGAGCCTCCCGTCCCAGACGCTCAGGGACAGAGCCGGATGATGTGTACTCATCAGGGCTGCTCAGAGGGTGCAAATAGTTCCTAAGGTTACCTTCAGGAGATCTCCTTTAGGGGACAGCCCACAGTTTTAAATTGGTCTGGCCTGCCACCTGGGGCCAGTGGTATCAATAGGCCAGGCTAACCTGCCTTGGTCCTCCCCACACCCACCCAGCCACCCACATGATTGACCAAGAGGCCCCAAGGTGGGCTGGCCCTGTGCTGGCATCTCACGGCCATATGTGCATGAGGCCTAGTGGCCCACATCACACCCTCCTGCACTGATCCAGCCCAGTGCCTGGACTCACAGTGGGCACTTAGTAAAGGTAGATGGATAAAAACAGTGATGGCCTAGACCCAGGACATCAGCCCTGCACACGCACTCAAGTTAGGGAAGGGAGGTGAATTGCAGTGGGAAACCAGTCACACACACACAAACCAAAGGAAACCAACCAGGGAGGGAAGGAGAAGCTGGGAACAGACAGAGGCAAACCCATCCGGTGGCCAAGTGCCTCCATCTGCAAAGCCCTTCTCTTCCCTGGCATCACAGCAGCCCTGTGAGAGGCAGGACGGAGTTGCTGCTTTTGAGATGGGTAAACTGAGGCACCAGGTGGTGAAGGAAACTGTCTGGGGGTCTGAGGCTCGGTCCGTTCATCCTGCAGCTGGGGGAGTTTGGTGAGGAAGGTGCCTGGTGCACAGGTCTGTAATCCACAGCTCCTCCTGTGGCCAGTGATGATGGCACCTGGGTGATCACTCACCAAAGCTAAGGAAGGGGGAGGGCCACAGCCTTGGCTCAGAGGCCTCTGTTCAAGGGCTCACTCAGCTTCTCAGCAGTTGGGAGCCACTGCCTCCTCCCCAAATGCCCCACTGTCCACAGTGACATCTGGTTATAAGCAGGTGCCCAGCAGACTCAGCCAGAGGAGCCCCCTGGGCCAGGAACCCTGAGGATATCCCCTTCCCTGATGGGCCTCGGTTTTCATCTGTCAAAGGGGTCCGTGTGGAATAGCACTGCACCTCCACTCAAGCGCCGGGGGGAAGGAGATGACTTAGCAGAAAGCAGAGCAGACAGGAGCAAATTCCTGGCTTTTGGGTTTCAAAATCCCAGGCCGCAGGGCCGAATGGAAAGAACTCTGGACACGGATGAGTCACAGGCAGTTAATATTTCAAATGATGTTTCCGCCATAAACCCATCGGAGAGTGCCCAGCACAGGGGCTGGCACAGAGCGGGTGTTCGTGAACATCTGTTAATGAATGAAAGAACCAAGCAACAAACAAATGAGCCTTGAGGGAAGTGTGGGGCGGGTGGGGAGATGGCTGGCTGCTCAGCAGTCACCTCCCAAATTAGTTGGGGGCTGGGAGAGACCTTGTGATGAGGAAAGAGCAAAGCTTCCTGTACTTCCACCCTCAAACGATGCTCCAGCTGGGACAGGGACATTGGAGGGAAGCCAGACGCATGTACATGGCATGGGTCCCTAAAAGCTGCGAGGTCCTGAGCTCTGCCCCTTCACCCCTGGGGCTACGCCCTGGGGGTGCTGACAGCACCACTAGATAGGTCTGTGGGACCTGAAGCAGGGCTGCTCCCAGCAAGGCCCAGGCTACCTGGGGCATCCAGGCAGGACTCTGGCTGTCTCAGGGAGGTCCCCTCCCCGCACTATGGAGAAGACACTGAGTCTGGGCTGGCCCTGAGGCAGCCTTTAGATGGACAGGGACAAGTAGATTCTGGCCAAAGATGGGGCAGGATGGTTCAGCAGGTGTCAATGTGATAAATGACTCTACGGGCCCCTTGGTTCAGTGTAAGCCCCCCAAAACCCAGAATTTGCATGCAACTATGAGAGAAGATGGGCAGTGATCTGTGAACTGCCAGAGATTTGCTACCCAGCATGTGGGGGCTCAGGATAGGAAGGGAGTGAAAGGAACATTTAAAGTTACATTTTTTTTCTCTTTCTCACTCCAGTTTGTGGACTTCAGGTTTGGACCTGACATAAGTGAAACAGAGAGCACTAGCAGTCCTCCCTCACGGGGAAGTGGTCCTCCCTCATGGGGACGTGGACACGGGAAAAGCGAGGAAAACTGCCGCTGATGGGCGCCCTCAAGTCAGGCCATGCTACTCTTTCGGCGGACTGCCTTGTTTAACCTCCGGAGTGCTCTAGACAGAAGGTGCCACCGTAATCGCCTTTCCTAGATGAGGAGACAGAGGCTCCCAGAGGGCCTGAGCCCAGGGCCCCTGAGGAGTGAGAGCAGCAGTGGGAATGGAGCCAGGGTTGAGGAATGAGCCCAGGGCTGTCTGATAGCAAACCCCTGGCCCCTGTGCTTATGTTGCATTAAGTCAAAAGCAGAGTGGTCTATTGATTTAGGAAACACTAGCCCAAGGGGAAGAAATGACTACAAACAAAGGACTAAATGTTTCCATGTCAACAGAAAATAATGCTAGCAACAACAGCCACTGCAGTAAGCGCACTGGTCTCTCTTAAAACCCCAAATCGCCAGCTGTTCGGCTCAGAACAGGTTGGAAAGTTCTGGAAGGGTGTGGGGGAGGTGACCCACCCCTCACCTGCATCTCGGATGTCCCAGGGGTCTGAGAGGGAAGTGGTCATCTGCCGGCCAGGCAGGCCATCCGGCTCTCACATGAGCCTTCCCTCTTATTGGGCAAGGGAGAAACACCCCGTGGCCACCACTTGCAAGAGAGGACCGTGTCACTGAGAAAAGTTACATCCACACGGGAGAGCAGGAAGGGGCCCCTGAGGAGAAGCACGCTGTGAGGAGCTCCATGGAGAACCAAGGGGTGGCGGGAGGAGCCGTTCTGGGGCGCGCAGCCCAGCCCAGATGCCTGGCTCAGCAGAGCTGCGCCACCCGACTCAGAGGGACGCCTGGAACTCATTAGCATTATGTCAGGAATAATATAAAATTAAAACATTTAGCTTTGGCTTCTAAAATTAAGGAGGACAAAAAGAAAAGGATGCCATTGTGCTGAACCGCTCGGCTATGACCTGGGCACCAATAATTTACAGAAAATAGATCACTGCATTGCACTTGGGCCCAGTCAGGAGCCCGGGGTTGCCAATAGGGCTGAGGACTAAGAGAGGAGCCCGCAACTCTGCTGGAGATGGGAGAAGGGGAAGGTTGGGAGCCAGGGTGCAGTCCGGCCCCCGGGGCACAGTGAGGCCTTCGGGCAGCTCACTTGCCAGGGCAGCACCAGGTACATGTGCATCCTGCCACTCTCTTCCCTGGCCCCCCACCTCTAGGCTGGCCGTTGCTCCCAGATCCATCATCTCTCCTGCAGCAGGGAGACCCCTAAATTGCAAGCCTCTCCTTGCCACTCCCAAACCCTATGGGTGGCTCCACTGCCTTCAGGATACCACCCTCAGCCCAGCACTTCCAGCATCTCGCCGACTGACCTCTGGGGACCCTCCAGCTGTAGCTGGCTCCCCAAGCTCCCTGGTCCCTCTCCAGGTTCCTGTTACACTGACCACTTGGGCCATCAGAACTTCATATCTATGTGTTTTTATATATGCTGTTCCCTCAGCCTGGAATTCCCTCAAGTCAGGCTCAGCTCCAACACTGGTTTCTTTGTGAGGTTCTGGGCTTTGGGGCAGGTCCTGGGCCCAAAGCCTCTCTGGGTTCACCCTAGCCCAGGGGTAAATGCAAATGGCTGGGCTGGGCTGCGTGGGAACCCAAGCCTCACACAATGTCAGTACTGGCCAAACCTCCAAGGACCTCATGTTGTGGGTGGGGACACCAAGGCAGCCCAGAGAGGGCAAGGCTCCCCAAGGCTTCCCCTGCCACCAGCTTTTTGCAGGCCCCTGGATCCTTAGGGCAGGCTCTTCCTGCTCCTGTGTGCTCATTGTGGGAAACAGAGTGCTCAAGAGTCATCCAGACCTGGATTCAAATCCTGATTCCCCTCCAATTCTGTGAAAACCACCTAATACCCTAATTTGTCTGCATTGCCAGGGAGGTAATGACAGTAGAGTATCACCCCTCCCAGGGCTGTGGAGAGTCAGCATCAACACGGCAGTAACACAGTCTACACTACCTGCAACCCCATGCAGAGACACTGTGGTCCATGGACCCCAAGGACAGGGGGCCTGATGGGGTAGACACAGGCTCCTGGCTCCTCAGGAAGGCAGTCTGGGCAGAGTCCCCAAAGCCTGACCTGTCCGGCGGCATCATGGGGCAGACTGTCATGCTTTTATTCAGTCATTCATCAGCCATTCATTCATTTCCTCACTCGCTTATTCACTCAGCTAACTGTTCATAGCCAGACACCCAAAATACGCTGTTAGTGAAAAAATCAAGTACCTAAACAGTAAGTATAGTATGATTCCATTTTAGTAAAGAGTGTAATTATACACACAGAGAGCAGCCTGGAAAAATACTCCAAAATATTAAACAATGGTTATTTCTGAGTGGTGTAGTTAGGGATAACTTTTCCTTTTTTCCTTACATTTCACTCTCTACTTTCTACTTCTTTACATATTATACTTATTGCTTTATATTTTACACTATGTTGTTTTGCTAAAGTTTAAAAAAATTTACAGTGGGCAGCGTCATACTTTCATGGACAGATTTAGTCACAATTCTAGACTTCTTGCCTAGTGCTACGTGTGCCCTTGCGTGAGTCGCTGCAGAGGGCGGGACCCTGGATGCCCCCTGCTGCATCTGGAGCCAGATCCGGTCCATGCGCTGGCTCCTGTCCTACGTGACATGAGCAAAGGGCTTTCCTCTGGACTCATTTTCCACATAAGAATACAGGGACAACACGATGGCTTCCAGAGGGGATCTGAGGATTAAGGAAGACATGGATGGGGACCAACTTGCCGAAGGGCAGGGGATACAGCTCATGGTGACAGTGGTGTGCCTGCATCAGGGAAGTGAGACCCACCCACCGATGCACTGAAGGATGTGGGTGCCTCCTCGCAGGGTGACGCCACCAAGCTCCTGTTTCACACATGATGGCCAGGGACGCCTGAGGAGGCAGGGGGCTGGTGTAATTAGATACTGGTGACAGGCAGACTCACTCCTAAGAGCAGAGGAGCCAGAGGCAAGCCCACGCCACAAACCTTGGCAGGGAGGGCGAGGATGACATTTCACTCTGCAGCAGCAGCCAAGAGTCATGGGGCACTGGGGAGGAGCGAGTGCTCCCTCAACACCATCTCTGCAGCCTCAGCCAAATGTCTGGGGACACATCCCTGAGCCATCTGGATGGGGTGCAGCTTCGGATCAGGAAGACCAGGTTCAAGTCCCAGCCCTGCTGCTTACTCGCCTGTGTCCTCAGGCACGTTACTCAGCCTCTCTGGTCCTGGAGGTGTCTTCTGGAAAACGGGGTTAACACTCCCTGTTTGCAGGTTTATTGCAACGACTACATGAGATGAGAGATGGCAGGGCTCGTCAATCTGGCCTTGGGACAGGGTCCATCCAGCAGTGCCAATACACCAGCAACAGGTGGCACACTCCATGCAACCGACACCAAGGTGCCTCTGCTGCTATCATTCTCTTCTGCGGCCATCATTCTCTTTCCAGAATGTTCTTCTCCTGCCACTTCATCTGGCTGAGTCCTGCTCATCCTCCAAGCTTCAGCTCATAAGCCACCTCTTCCAGGGAGCCTTCCTAGATTTCCCTGTTGTTAAGACTAGGCTGCCCTGGGGTCCCCCACCATGCCCTTCCTTCCATCACAGCCCCTGGACTCAAGCATTGTAACTGCCGGGCTCTGCGCCTCTTTCTTCCCCTGACTGGGTATGGAAGGCTGACACAGAATGGACCTGGTCCTGACTGGCCTCTTATTCCAGGGCCCAACAAGGGACTGGACATACAGCAGGTGCTCAGGGCATGCTTGCTGACTGCAACGCTGTGCTCGATCAGGGTTAGCCACCCTTGTTTCACCTCACCGCTGGGGAAGGAGAAAGGCTCTTTTCTTTTAAAATCCCAGAAGGTCTGAGTTGAAAGGGATGTTAGAGGACGTCTACCCATTTTGCAGATGGGAAGACTGGGGCTGGGTAAGGCGAAAAGACCTGCTCAAGGCTGCCCAGTACATGTCAGTGGTGACACAGAGACAGAGAGCCAGGGCTCCAGACTCCCAGCCCAGTGCCCTCTGATCCTTGGCCTCGGGGCTGTCTTTTCACAGCCAGAGAGAGGGCAATAGCCAAGAGCTGCATGCTCAATGGGGCTGAAGGTGGCAAGACCAACAATGCACCCTGGTCTGGCCACCTCCATCTCCCCTCGTCAGCACGGAACCTGCCTGAGCTCTACTGTACTTCTCACTGCTGGCTCCTGCCTTTGATGGATGGAAGGTGTCACTTACCTCCGCCAGGCTCCACTTCCCAGGCCCTGACCCAGGCAGGGCTCCCCCAGCACACCTACCCCTCCAGAACGTCACCAATGGCCAAAGCCCTCTGATGGCCCCCACAGGCCTACTCAAGCCTGGGAACATATTTGCGAAGGCCAACGCAGTGGGTTTTCATCATTTTTGGTATGGCCGTACATTCTGGAATACAAACTTGGTGAATCAGGCTCAGACTGGGTTTAACGAATTCTATTTCCCTGCCCCTCTGCTGAGCCAAGCCTGGCTGTCAGCGATCACCAGGACAGAATGGCAGTGATTTCTCATTAGAAATATGGTTCATAAAGTCGATTTCCATTTTATTGGAGCAGCCAGGAGCAGCCAAACACGGCCCAGTGGTGGCTGTCTCTGTGAGGGGGCAGCAGGGAGGACTTGGTTTTTTCATCTGTGCTTTATTGTGTTTTACATGTTTTCTGCAATAAGCATATAAAACTTTTACAAATATTTATTTTTCAAAACTCAAGGACAGACTCCTCCTGCTTCTCCCTCCCGCCTCCCTGCTGGCCGCATCCTCTGCTGCTGTTTTCGCACGGGGGGCATTTCTGCTGAGTGCAGGCTGAATGTCTCCCCTCCAGCTGCCGCACTCCATGGGACTTGGGGGCCAAAGATGATCTCACAGGGCCGTTCTGGCTCTGGCACTCCACATCCAGGGTGTGCCCCAGGGCACCTGAAGGTGGGGCTCAGGTGGGTGAGTACTGAGAGCCTCCCTTCACACCAACACGGGACTTCAACCTTGCATGCACATCTCTAACGGGAGGCCCGGTCTGCACACAGCACTGAGTGAGGCTTTAGCATGTTACTGCTGGTATTCCCGTGTCCACCATGGACAGGGGCTCTCGGGGCAGGAACGAGAGAAGGGCCACATATCACGCATGGACGCCTGCTCCAGCTATGCTAATACCCACAACCTCGACTCATCCCGTGACAACGCTGCCATGCCACCAGGGTTATCCCTGCTCGCATTTCTACCACTTTGTCATGCTGCCTTTGCTGTGATGAGAACCCTGGGCCTGGCTCTTTGGGACAGGTCTTGGAGGAGCTCAGAAGTTGCTGAGGTGCTCTGACAAGGTAAGGGTTATAGACAGCCTCTGCCCTGGGAAGGCAAACCTAGAGGAAGGTCAAGCGTGGGCCAGATTTTCTGGCTGACATTATGCTTGCATCTGTTTCCCTGTGGTCATCCATGAACCTTCAATAAAGTCAGTTATTTTTTTATAGCTCTGTTGAAAGGTACTTCACATAATCATAAAATCCACTCATTTGAAGTATACGATTCAGTGATTTGGAGTATATTCACAGCATTGTACAAGCATTACCACAATCAATTTTAGAATATTTTTATCACTCCCGAAAGAAACCTTGTATCTACTAGCAGACAGCACTCCCTATTCCTCCCTCTCCCAAATCCCTAGAAACCACTGATCTACTTTCTATTTCTATAGATTTGTCTATTCTTGACACATCACGTAAGTTGAATCATGCAATCTGTGGTCTTTAGTGACTGGCTTCTTTCACTAGCGTCATGTTTTCAAGGCTCATCCATGCTGTCACATGTGTCGATACTTCACTCTTTTTGATGGCTAAATATTTTCCATTGTATGGATATACCACATTTTATCTATCCATCCCTCCATTGATGGACATCTAGGTTGTTTCCACCTTTGGCTATTATGATGAATGCTGTTGTGAACATTCATGTACAAGCTTTTCTGTGGACATTTGTTCTTATTTCTCTTTGCTCTATACCTAGGAGAGACATTGATGGATCATATGTTAACCACTGATCATTTGAGGAACTGCCAGACTGTTTTCCAAAGCTACTGCACAATTGCACATTCCCATCAGGGTACAAGAGTTCCACTTTCTCCACCTCCTTGTCAACACTCGTTATTGGCATCTCTTTGATTCTAGCCCTTCTAGTGGGTGTGAAGTGGTAGCTCCTTGTGGTTCCGATTTGCATTTTCCTGCTGGCTAATGTTGAGCAACTTTTCATGTGCTTTGGGCCATCTGTATCTCTTCTTTGGAGAAATGTCAGGTCAAGTTCCTTGCCTATTTTTAAGTTATGTTATCTTTTTCATTATTAAGTTGAAAGAGTTCTTAATATATTCTAGGTACAAGTCCCTTATCAGATATGTAATTGCAAAAGCAAAGTCAATTTTGAGCTGAAACAACAACAGCTAACATTTCTTGGGTACTTCCAATGTTCCAGGCCCTATTTCAAGTGCTTGTATGTGTATTAAGTATTTTAACTCCCACAACGCCATGAGGTAGGTATGGTTGTTATTAATATCATCCCCATATTACCAATGGGCAAACAGAGTCACAGAGCAGCACCCTGCTCAGGTCACCCACCTAGGAGGCCACAGAATGAAAGCTTGGGGCATTAGGGAAGGTCACGCCCACCCTTGAGCTAGCACTCCAACTGGGAAGTGGTGCCCCTGTGGCTGGCATGGGGTGGCAGCAGCAAGAGGCCCCTTAATGGGGACATGACTCCCTGATAGGCATCAGAGCCACCAGGTTCAGCCCAGCTCATGATATTTTCTCTCTCCTTTGCCAGCCCTGTATTCAATTTTATTCGCAAAGAAGTCAGTTTCCTTACAGGCATGCATGCTCAAATTGGGTGGAAAAGGAATTTCCTTCCACAAGGGATTCCAGACACTGGCTCAGGAACCGACCCACTGCAAATCATAGATGATGATGTTTCAGAACGATGATGTCAGCACCAGAAGCAGCTCAGCCCCCATTAACACATTAGCAAGTGAGCATCCCTGGCCTTGCTCTGCAGTAGGCCTGGGCTGGAAGAAGGTAGGGCTGCTGGGAACAGAGGCCTCTGGGGGAGGCTTGCCCCAGGGCTGGGAGGGTTAGACATGACAGTGCGTAGAGCGAACACACACTCACACTGAGTTAGGTTCAAACTGCCCTTTGACATCTCCATTCTGGGCTCCTACCCAAGGCTGAGGCTGGAGGTCAGACTAGTTTTATGCAAGAAGATGATAAAATATTGGCATTATGAACTATGAGTGGCGGAAGATAAGTCCCACAGTCGGGGAAAAGCTGAGTGAACAGTGCCACAGTCCCCACACTGGATGACCATACTGCTGTGAAACCACAATTATCAAGTACCATGGCGCAATGGCAGATTTCTTAGTCATAATGCTAAAACCACCAACATGAATATTAACAGTCCTCTCAACAACTCCACAGGGAACATGAGGCACAGAGAAGTGAGGTGCTTCATCCAAGACGAGGGGTGACAGGTTCAGACGCTCCCCACTCCAAAATCCCAGCAATTTTTATTTTTATTTATTTATTTTTTTTGAGACAGAGTCTTGCTCTGTGCCCAGGCTGGAGTGCAATGGCGCGATCTCGGCTCACTGCAACCTCTGCCTCCCGGGTTCAAGTGATTCTCCTGCCTCAGCCTTCCAAGTAGCTGGGATTACAGGCGCCCGCCAACACACCTGGCTAATATTTATATTTTTAGTAGAGATGGGGTTTCACCATGTTAGGCCGGTTTTGAACTCCTGACCTCAGGTAATCCGCCCACCTTGGCCTCCCAAGGTGCTGGGATTACAGGCGTGAGCCACTGCGCCCGGCCAGTGATTTTTTAAAGGATCCCCCGTGTTGAGCCCTCACTATGTGCCCGGCATTGTGCTAAGAGAGGAGCCAAAGGAAAACATCCCGCCACGGTGGTTTGAAGTCCTCTGTTCTCTTTTTCTGGTTTGCCAAATTTCTAACATATGATTATGCCACATTTATACAAAGAAATTTAAAACACCTGCCTCTCAGGGTTGTTGTGAGGCCTGGAAACTGTGGTGGCCCATCTGCACCCTGCACCCATGCCCGGGATGGAGGCCTTATGCAGAGGAGGGATAATTGCAGGGCAAGGGGGGTCCCTCAGCCTCTGCAGAACTGTGGGTCTCAGACCACTCCCTTCCTCTCACCAAACAGGGTAACCACCTCTGTCCTGATGCCTCCTTGGGCTTCTGGGAAAACGTCAGGTCGGTTGCTTAGAGCCCTGGGGCTTAGAGTCCTGGGGAACCAACAAGAAGCCCCGCGAAGGGGCTGCCTTTCTCAGGGCCCCTCAGAGTGCTCTGCAGAGCATGCTGGCAGTCCCTCCCCGGTGAGGGCACTCCCAATTGTGAGCTCTGTAGTCTAGCCTGCTCCCACCTCTGCCCTCCCTCTGCCTGCCATTCAAGGCCCCTGTGTCAGGGCTCAAACCCTGCTCTCCTCTGCCCTCTGTGCCCACCGCCTTCCCTGGATGTACCCGGTGGTTCCTGCCTCTGGGCCTCTGCACAAACCCATCCCTCCTCCTGTGTATATGTCTGTCTCTGCCATATACTCCTTCTCCACACTTCGACATACATGTACCTAACTGCAGAAGCACTCCATATTCACCCACCCACACTCTTGCACCCAACCAGAAAACTTCCCAACCAAACACTCCCCAATCACACCCCCAAACAAACTCTGCAACCATACACATCCCAACATACTGCAAACAGCATCCCCCAGATCCAGTCACATAAACACACATACCCACTCCCTCTAATCACCCCCAAAGCTTAACACATGCCCAGATACATTCAACCACACACACACTGACTGTCACAGAAGCCCCGCCAAAGCCCAAAGATGCAAGTCCCCTAGCCTCTCCCCTACCAGCTCCCAGGCCTCACCACACACCCCAACCCTAAGCTGCTATAGGTGGAAAGTGTGTCCCGGTAGGAGGGGGACCAGGCGGGTCCCTGAGAGCCCTCACAAGGCCCCCCGCTGCTCCTGTGCCTGGGCCAGCTCTACACAGCATGGCCCAGGTGGCAGGCAGACAGCCAGCTCCCGCCAGGCCTTCCTTCTCAGGTCTCCCTTCCCACATTCCTGCCTGCCCCAGGGGTTTATTCTTCCCCTGCTCATTGATGATGAAAATACTTTTAAGCCAACCACAAAGATTGTTGTCTTTGTCTTTTTAAATAAAAACCAACAGATGCATTTGGGGACCCTCTGGTTTTCCTCTGGGGTGATTTACATGACCACAACCAGTTCTTGGAGAAGAAAAGCAAACATTCCCGTGGCCTAATAGAAACACTTGCCCTCCACCATCCATCCTCCCAGCTGAATCGGCTCGTGCCCACAGATGGCTCCCCAGGGCTCCTCCATCCCACTTAGAGGCTGAGGGGCCAGAGGAGGATCCAGCTGGACCACGGGCTGGCAGCCCCACATGAGACAATCTCTCTGAGAGTTCTTCTGTTTTTATTTTTGTCATCGGCCCTGGAAGAGGGAGTTGGGCAGGCAGAGACTAACTACCTCAGTGACAGAAAAGGAGACTCCCATGAAATCAGCCCATTTAAACATTTAGCAACCCTGGGAGGCAGCAAGTGGAGCTATCTCCATCTGACCAATGAGGAGATGGAGTTAGAGGCACAGGAATTACTCACGTGCTCCAGGAATCAGCTGGTGGCAGGACTAACTGTGTCAGGTGCATAGCTGATGTTTCAGCTCTGGCTGGGATCACCAGCCTTCCTTGCCTTTCTAAAGATACCCCTGTCCCACCTGGCTGGCTGAGAATGGCTCGTCCGGAAGATGTAGATGAACCCCATCCCCATCAGCCTTGGCGAGCACACATTGTGCTTCAAAACCAGGATAAACCTGGAAAGCGCAGCCTCGGGGCTGGAGAAGTTTGTGGGGTTATTCCATCCAAGCTTCCCCAGCACAGGAATCCACTCCATGGTGCCCTGCCCAGGTGCACCCAGTCTTGGTTCGCATACCTGCTGAGAGCTGCTCTCCCTCATGAGAAAAAAAAAAGCTTTACCTATTCTCCATTCATCCATTCATCCACCTATCCATACCACCAGGACCCATCCACCCACCCATCCACCATCCATAAACTATTTCTCAAATGCCTCCAAGAAGCTAAGCATCATTCTAGCTGCTGGTGACACAGTGGTGAGCAAGACACATGTGGTCTTGGTGCTTGCACAGCTCACCTGCCGGTGGGTTGACACAGACAGCAACCAAGTAAGCAAATGAGTAAGACAATGTCAGACCGTCTAAGTGCAATAGGAAAAAACGCCTGACCTTGTGGTATGGCAGGGAGTACTGGTGGGGAGGGGCCTTTGCGACTTGCAGGTGGTCAGGGAAGGCCTCTCTGAAGAGCTGGCATTCAAGCAGAGAAATCAAGGATTCTCATCCTTCTCAGGAGCTACCCCTAAGCTTTAGGGACGGAGAATTTTGGATAAAGGGAATAGTCCATGTAAAGGCCTTGTGGTGGGAAAAGAGACAGAGCAAGGAGGCCTGTGTGGCTGGAGCAGAACGGGCAGGTGGAGGATGGCCAGGGGCTCTGGAGAGGTGGGGGTGCTGCAGCTCAGACAGTGTGCCTTGCTGACCAGCGGGAGGATTTGTCTGGAGGTTCTGGGGGACAGGGCTCCCTAAGATGGAGCAGTGTCAGCCTCAACAGCCTCCTGGGTGTCCCTAAATGGAGAAGAGGACACTAGGCCTCCCTAAACTCTGGCTCCAGGCCCCTCGCCAGGGCCACCTCTCAGTGCAGAGAATGCCATCCTGCAGCCATGAGGCCACAAGATGGCACCCATTACTCCTGACCACAGCCCCTTCTGTCACCTGGCCCTCAAGGGACTTTCCCATCTGCTCTCTCATCTAAGCATCCCCCAAACAACGGAGACAGGGCACTCATGACAACCTCCTCTTGACAGAGGAGGGGACAGAGGCACAGAGAGGCAGGACGACCATGTGAGGTCACACAATGAGTCACGAGTAGAGACAGCCTGAATCCAAGTCCTTCCTTCAGGGTATCCAGATGGCCCCACCAACCCCACCACAGCCCTAGGGGGTGATGTGTGGTAACTGAGGTCATGGCAGGCAGTTGGGGCCAGGCACAGTGCCCGGCTATTCACATAGGTTAGCTTATAAAATTAGAACCAAAGCTCAGAGAAAGGAAGTGGCATGCCTGAAGTCACACAGCACATCTGAGGAGGAGCCAGGATTTGACTCAAGTAGGGCACTACAGGACTAGTCCGGAGGCTCATCAGTGCTAACCAATATGGACTCAGGTTGGAGCCCTGAGTCCATATTGCCCCCCCAGGGCAACAGGGCACTGGAGAAGGGTGTGGTGTGGATGGGGGTCACAGCAGGGACAGCAACACAGGCCCCACCAAGCCTGACCTGGAACGTGCCCATCATTGGGCCCCCACAGCCGGGTCTGACAGGCTGGGGCACATTCCCCTGAGAGCCACTGTGGGGCTCAGAACAGCTGCCCTGCCCTCGACACACCCCCTGTCCCTGCTGAGGCCACTTCTGAAGGACACTGTCCTCCTCCTAAGCTCCATCAGGGCGTGTGAGGTGTGGAGCCATTCTCTGGGGCACAGAAAGGAAAGGGCCTCACAGGTAGGGCAGGGCACTTGGGTATCTGAGGGGGACTGGCAGGTCCCTGGAAACCCCAAAACTGTCTCCCTGGGCAGACCTGGGCAGCTTCCCTAGGCTCAGGGACCCACGGGACTGGCATGTTTCAGAAAGAACCCCATGCACTCTCAGATCTAAAGACGGGTAACCCATCTCCCCACTCAGGCGACATCGCCGCTCCCTTACCTGTAAAGCAACCTATCAGGCCACTCTGGTTCTGGAAATTCTCTTATACCTTGTTTGTGGCTCTGAAGGCTGCTGAGAGAGATGTGCCACCATCAGCTCATGCTTTTAAGAGACCACTATAAGAGCATAATTGCCTAGCACTTTGGGAGGCCGAGGCGGGCGGATCACGAGGTCAGGAGATCGAGACCATCCTGGCTAACACAGTGAAACTCTGTCAGTACTAAAAATACAAAAAATTAGCTGGGCGCGGTGGTGGGCGCCTGCAGTCCCAGCTACTCGGGAGGCTGAGGCAGGAGAATCACCTGAACCCGGGAGGCAGAGGTTACGGTGAGCCAAGATCGCGCCACTACACTCCAGCCTGGGAGATAGAGTGAGACTCTGTCTCAAAAAAACAAAAACAAAAACAAAAACAAAATGCATATTTGGATTGTTTGTAACACAAAGGATAAATGCTTGAGGTAATGGACACCCCATTTCCCCTGGTGTGATTACTACACATTACATGCCTGTATCAAAATAGCTCATGTAACCCATATATACACCTACTATGTACGTACAAAAATTAAAAATTAAGAAATAAAAATTGTGTGTGTGTATGCAGGTGTACTGCAGGTGTGTGTGTGCAGGTGTACTGTAGGTATGTGTGTGCAGGTGTACTGCAGGTGTGTGTATGCAGGTGTACTGCAGGTGTGTGTGTGTGCAGGTGTACTGTAGGTATGTGTGTGCAGGTGTACTGCAGGTGTGTGTGTGCAGGTGTACTGCAGGTGTGTGTGTGCGGTGTATTGCAGGTGTGTGTGCAGGTGTACTGCAGGTATGTGTGTGTGCAGGTATACTGCAGGTGTGTGTGTGTGCAGGTATACTGCAGGTGTGTGTGTGTGCAGGTGTATTGCAGGTGTGTGTGTGTGTGTGTGTATGCAGGTATACTGTAGGTTTGTGTGTGCAGGTGTACTGCAGGTGTGTGTGTGTATGCAGGTATACTGTAGGTTTGTGTGTGTGTGTGGTGTACTGCAGCTGTGTGTGTGTATGCAGGTGTACTGTAGGTTTGTGTGTGTGTGCAGGTGTATTGCAGGTGTGTGTGTATGCAGGTGTACTGTAGGTGTGTGTGTGTGTGCAGGTGTACTGCAGGTGTGTGTGTGTGCAGGTGTACTGTAGGTATGTGTGTGTGTGCAGGTGTACTGCAGGTGTGTGTGTGCAGGCATACTGCAGGTGTGTGTATGCAGATGTGTCTGTGCAGGTGTACTGCAGGTGTGTGTGTGTGTGCAGGTGTACTGTAGGTATGTGTGTGCAGGTGTACTGCAGGTGTGTGTATGCAGGTGTACTGCAGGTGTGTGCGTGCAGGTGTACTGCAGGTGTGTGTGTGGTGTACTGCAGATGTGTGTGCAGGTGTACTGCAGGTGTGTGTGTGTGCAGGTGTACTGCAGGGGTGTGTGTATGCAGGTGTACTGTAGGTTTGTGTGTGTGTGCAGGTGTACTGCAGGTATGTGTTTGTGTATGCAGGTGTACTGTAGGTATGTGTGTGTATGCAGGTGTACTGTAAGTATGTGTGTGTGTGTGCAGGTGTACTGCAGATGTTTGTGTGCAGGTGTACTGGAGGTGTGTGTGTGCGCAGATACTTGTTTGTGTGCAGGCATACTGCAGGTATGTGTGTATGTGTGCAGGTATACTGCAGGTGTGTGTGTGCAGGTGTACTGCAGCATGTGTGTGTGTGCAGGTATACTGCAGGTGTGTGTATGCAGATGTGTGTGTGCAGGTGTACTGCAGGTATGTGTGTGTGTGTGCAGGTGTACTGCAGGTATGTGTGTGTGTGTGCAGGCATACTGCAGGTGTGTGTGTGCAGATGTGTGTGTTCGTGTGTACTACAGGTGAGTGTGTGTGTGCAGGTTTACTACAGGTATGTGTGTGAGTGTGTTCAGGTACACTGCAGGTGAGCATATGTGTGTGCAGGTATACTTCAAGGTGTGTGCATGGGACATAAGCAGCACCAGGCCAGCATCCCCAGACCCTCTCACCTCCCGAAACACCAGAATGAGCCCACAGCCATGGCTGGGACTGGAATGAAGTGTGTCCATTCACCCACACTCAGGACTTATTTGCTGAACATCCTGGACACTTTGTCCATAGTATCATAAAGGCCCCAGGACAGCTCCAGTGGTAGGCATTATTATCATAATCCCTATTTTGCAGATAAAGAAACTGAGGCATGGAGCATTGTGCAACTTGGCCATGGTCACTCAGATAGTCATAGCAATTGGGATTTGACTCAAGCAGTCTGCCTCTAGAGGAAGGTTTAGGAGACTGGGTCATCAGCCCTTGGTGACTGGCTAGATGGATGTAAGGAGGTGAGGAAGTGTCCAGAAAGCCTCTTGGAGGTCTGTAGAAATGGCGGCAAGGGCAGCAGCAGGTACCCAGATGCAGAGCAGCCATGCCCTGTGGCTGAGGCCGGCTGGGGAAGAGCCTGGCCCCCTGACCTCATCAGGTAGGCCTTGAAACAGACGCACAGGGCAGCTCACATGGTGTCGTTGAGCAGCTACCAAGAAATATCTTGTCACTCCAATTACATTTCTGAATACCTCTCCTAATTCACTTCCTGTAAAATCAGACAGACTGGGTAAATATATATCTTCTTTTAAATGAAGCACGTTATAGTACCTAAATGGTTTTTATCAAGTTGTTTCCAGTCTCTTGAAAATTTCTGATTTCTAAATAATCCTTTATCCATTCCATATGCCCCTCTGAAGTCATTGTTAACAGAAAAGCAGAAAACACATAAATAATCTTCCCTTTTGCATGAGTTTAGGATTGACTCCAGTTGCTGCCAATCAAACATCATTAGGGGAGCCCCAAATCAAAGCAGGATGGTGGAGTCACTAATTAGATCGGGAAGCAGGCTCTGGATGATGAGAGATGAGGTCTGGAGGGGCTGGCAGTGCCCAGCCCTGCAGTGGGTACTGCCCCTCAGGCTGGAAGGGCACACTGTCAAACACACGCAACGTGCAAACAATGTGACCAAGAGCCTGCCCTCGGAGGTGCAACAGCACGCAGGTGGGGTGGCTGCCACAGAGGGACACAAAGGGCCCGATGCAGGAAGAGTAACTTAAGGACCTCTCCAGGCAGGCCAAGGGTCATGCTGAGAGTCAGCCCAGGGCTTTAGTCCCCTGCTCTGCCACTTACTATCAAAGCGATCTTTCGATGAGGGCCTATGGAGGCCTCACTGTCACTTTTCATGGATCTCTAAGATAAGGCCCCGGTTCCTCTGTGTGCATTCAAACCTCTGCCCTGGGCAACCTTTCCAGTCGCTGCTCTGCTGCTTTCCACCCTGGGCCCTATACTCCACCCCAGCAGACTTCCAGCCATTCTTGAACATGATGCGCCTTTGTTCACACTCTTCCCATGCCTCCCCCTAACGATCTCACTCTCTCAGGGCCAGCTCATGTGTCCACTGCCCTTCTCCAGTGTCTGGCTTCCCCACTAGACTGGGGCAAGCAGGGTGTCCCAAGGTCAAGCAGGGTGTCCCATTCATGCCACAGTGCCCAGCACCTGCCCATGGCCTGGCCCAGAGGAGCTTTTAGCAAAAGCTGAGTGAGTGAATGAATGAATTAATAAATGCCACCTTCCCCTCTGGCTGGGACATTTACCCTGCACCATTCACCCTGCTCCATTCAGGCCCCGACACGTGTTGAATACCCTTGATCTGTGCTCACCTATCCTGGACCATGTAGACTCTGCTCAGATGTGGCCAGAAACAAACCAGAGCTTAGCGAGCAAACACCTGCCTCCTGTGATCGTGGTGCTCTAGATGCTGAAGGTTAAAACATCTGGAAGGCAGACAGCAGTCCTAGACTTGCCTGTGCTGTCCCAGAAACCAAAAACCAGGAAAGATACAAATCCCAAACTGATGAGTGTTTGTGGTAGCAGAGGTAAGACTCAGACCCAGTGTGAGAAAGGCCTGGGATGCTTTGTGGGCCCTGGAGCCCTGGGACTTCTTAAAAACAGTAACTCAGAATGCAGGGGGCTTTGTGGCCGCTATCATTTTGTATAAACCCTGTTTTGGGGACTTTGGCTTCTCTGGGGACAGGGACCAAGTGTTTCTTGGCTGCACTCATCCTTCCTCAGACCCTGACCTGGCAAAGAGTGGAAGGCACCAGGGCCTCCTGGCTTGGTGGACTGGAGAGAGGACCTCAGGCTACAATCCCACTGGGCCACTCGTTCAATCCCAGCACTGTCCCGGGGTTTTGGACTCTGAGATGGAAGGATCCTGGGTCCTGGCCTTCACCTCTCCTTCCTCCCTCCACTGTGGTCAGTCCCTCAGCCCTCGTGCCCATCCTTCCGAGCCTGCTCGGCCCCTGCCCTGATCCTGCCAGGCGACCTCAGGCTGGGATGATGATTGGCGAACTCCTGCTGATGTCCAGCACTGGCTAGCCCCTCCCATCACTCACTCACCATGCGGCTCTGCTCCCCCTCAGGGTCGAGCCCAGCCGCTGCAATGCGGGACAGAGCCTGGTCCTGAGCCCCTGCGAGCCTCTGTTGCAGCTCATCCTCCCCCACACGCCCTGCACCCCCTGGCCTCAGCCCTGCAGCCAGCCACCCGCCATGCACGGGAGGGAGCTCTGTTTCTCTCTGACACACACAGGCACTCACCCTCATCCACACACACTCACTGTCAGGTACACACTCATCTACATCCCCCCCAGTCATATACACACACTCTATCACACATATACACACACACACAGTCATCTACATAGTCTCTCACCTGTACACATATGCTCACACACACACAGCCCCCTACCTCTGCCCACAGTGTTCCCTCTCCTAGATGGTCTTTCTCCACCTTGGCTAACTTATCCTTCAAGGTCCAACTCAAGTGCTTCCTCCTCTGGGAAGTGCTCCCTGACTTCCCAGGCAGGATTAGAGGCCCGTAGACTCCCACAGCTGCATGCCTAGCAGGATGAAGCACACACACAACATAAGGAATTTCTAACCAGGACTCTGCTGTGGGCAGGGACTGCCTCCTTGATGAAGATACAGAAATGAATCCAATACGAAGCTGGAGTGGCCTGTAGAGCTCACCAGCGAAGACAGACAAAGAAGAGCCAGCTTTGCCCAGACCTGGGGGCAGCAGCTGTGTTGACTCATCTCTGTCCCAGCACTGAGGGAAGACAAGGAGCCCTAGGGGTTGCTGGGCCTGCCCCTGCCCAGCAACTGAGTGCCCAACCCAGTAACACCCACCTGGGCCTCACGAGTCAGGCAGGAGCTCGCTCCCTGTTTGCAAGGGCAGGGGTTCCACTGGCAGACGGACAGTTCCGGTCGGGAGATATCTGGTCCACACACGGAGCAAATATCTGTTTCCCCCTGGTGCCCACCAGTTAACCCTTCGTACCTTCCAGGGAGAGTGGAGGCTGTGGTCGGGAGGGCAGAGCGGGCTATAGGTGAGACTGAAGACAGGCCCCTATTTGGCTGGTGGACCCCAGGTCCTGTTGGCATCACTGGCTTTGCACTGCCTTTGGCAAACACTTGTTGCGGGCCGTGTGTCCCGCAATGTTCTAGGCACTGGGGCAGCCATGCTCACAGTAGGTGCTTTAAGAAGACCTCTGCCATGGTCTGCTCAGTGGATGCCTCAGAAGTGGCCCACGACAGTGGCGATGAGTCCTTGGACTCCACCCATACCTCAGTACCCCAGGCCTTGCCACCTGAAGGGGCAATACACCACACTTTTTCCTGCCCCATCCTGCCCTGCCACTGGTATCCCACCCCGCCCTGCCCACAGCCAGGCAGCCAGGCAGAGCTCCAGAGAGGAGGCCGGGCCCACACTGGATGTCCGCTCCCTTCAGGATCTCCAATGTGCGCTCCGGGACCAAGCCCCTACTGTGTGCCCCCAGGACCGAGCCCCTACTGTGTGCCAGGCATTGGGATTGGGATGGCTTCTCTACAGACATTGACTCATCTGTTTGATTCCCACAGGCAGAGTGTCCACTACTCTTCCCTAGTCCCATTCCACCCCACTGGCCAAGTCAGAGATGAAGAAATTGAGGCTCAGAGAGGCTACACCACTTGTGTAAGGTTACACGGTAAGTGGGAGAGCTCCAGGATTCAGGGAAGCCAAGCAGCAGGGAAGTTAAGAATATATTGCATTTATAAACAGTGCACGACTTTACAAGCCTCCAGCTATAATTTCATCATAGCCCAGGACCTGGAAAGTCTGCATAATCCTGGAAGGCGCTGGGTTTCAGCTAAAAGACTGCTGTGACTGCTAATTGGATCCTCAGCCTACACTGTAAATCAGACCAAAGTGTGGGCAATCTTTTTTCAAACAGGCACTGTATGTCTTTACATTATTGTTGGCGGACCAGGGCCTTAAATAATTTCTGTGTAACTCAGTTCATAAATCTGCCCTCGCTCTGTGGCTGGCAAACACTGCCGGAGAAGAGACCAGGTTCCCAAGGTAAACAGCTGGACTGGCAGCTGCTCCCTGGCCATACAAAATCCAGAGCACTGGCCTGGGGTGGGGGCTGGCTGCACTCACTCAGGAAGCTCAGAACATGCTGGGTTTGGCAGAGGTCGAAGAGCCAGTGGGCCCAGCAGTTCATGGAGAGTCATCCCGAGGTGTGAAGCCAAGGAAGCTTTGGCCCATGGGAGCCAAGGTGCTCTGGTTGGGGAAAACATGCCGGCAAACAGGGCAGGTCCAGAGGGTGTCCAGAGAAACTGCAAGGAACTCCCCCCTCACCACGCACCTAGAGCATATGAATCTCTCCACACCCTCGGGAGGCTGGCTTCACTATTCCCGTCTCAGAGGTGGTGAGACAGGCTCATTTGTCCACAGAGCCAGCAAGTGGTGAACCCACAGTGTGAACCCAGCGCAGCTCGGTTTCAACGTCTTCCCATGTTACCCATGAAAAGAGGACCTGGGGGCAGATGGGGTTACAGAGACCATCTTCACCAAACCAGTGATCTGTCTGCCAGGAATAAGTGCATGCACGGTTAAGGGGGCAATGCAACAGGGCGTCTGAATTTGGGATGATGCCAGAACACCACAGTGAGGGAAGGGGTGAGCTTCCCAGAGATGAATGAGCAGAGGCCAGACCATCTCTTCTTACAAAGATGCTACAGATGAGGTTCCTGCACGATCATGGAGAAAGGTAAGAGTCAGCGCCTGCTTTCAAGGAGCTGAGTGGCAAACAGGAAACAGGACACCAAGATTTTCACCGTGCAGAGATGAGACACAGAATGAAACTGAGATGTCAGAGAAGTGCAGCCCAACCAGGGAAAACAACGAGGGTCACCTCCATGGTGACTCATGACATGTGGAAATGCACTCCCACACCCACAGCTCACCCACCTGCTCCTAAAAGACTAGCACCCCAGACCACAGCCGAACTGGCTCAACATCACCTCGCAAGAGCCTGTCAGAGCTGCAACCCCACCCTCTCAGCTGAGTCCCAGCCCACACTCCACATCGCACCACACTGCCCCGGGGGCAGGCATCCCATCCCCTTAGGTGCTGGTACACCTCCAGATATTCTCATTTCATCTTCCTCCTCCAACCGTATCAACACTATTAGAACAATGATGATAAAGAAGAATCTTAACCACTAGAAACCTCGATTTCCTCATTTGTCAATGGAGGTGATGACAGAGCCAGATCTGCGGGAGACACGAATGAAATGATGCATGCAAAGCACTCAGCACCGTGAAAGATCATCATCTAGTAGTTATTCTTCAAATAACACTTTACAGTGCTCTGCCATACATTATTTCCTATGATTTTTACAATGACGTGTAGAGTAGCTATCATTGGTGACTATTTCACAGATGAGGAAACGGAGGTTGTGCTTCTGGGCCATTCTGCTGCAAAATAATCAGATTATGCATAAAATATAGCTTCTGTCACATTGCTTGGGTTATAGGAGGTAAGGACAATCTCAGAGGACGGGAGAAACAGAAGTAGAAATCCCAGGCCAGAACTAGGCTGAAAGGTGGGGTTCCCCCAAGGGCAGGTACTCAACTCAGGCCTCCAGTGTGTCCAGAGACAAACCCTGGCCATGTGGTCTCATGCTCAAAGGTGACCAAACACATGAGGCAAGAAGAGGGAGGCTCTGCAGAAGCAATGAACCACAACGCTGGACCTTCCAAGGATTCCAAATGCTAAAATGATCAGACTTGGAGTATATACTAACAGGGGTGAAATGTGTAAGGAGTGAAAGGGCACAATCACAAAACATTAGCAAGTAACGAGACTGTCCAAAACCACCAATCAGATTTGAAAAGGAACCAACAGAATTTCCAGAAATTAAAAATGTAATTGTTGAAAATTTTGTTTAAACATTTTTAATTTTTCAAAAATGTTGACTGAAATGAGTCAAACAGCAGATTAAACACAGGTAAGCCAGAAGAAAGAACTGAAGAAATTTCACAGATTTCAGATCAGAAAGACAAGCAGCTAGAAAATAAGAAATATAGCAGCCAGAATAAGAAGGCTAATCTACCTTTAATCAAAGTCTCAAAAAGAAGACAGCATAGACAGGAAGCAGTATCTGAAGAGATAACAGCTTGGAGTTTTCCAGAGCTGCAAGGAGGAAAAAAATAAAAGAAATCCACATTTACTCACAGAATAGTGAAAATTCAGACTATCACAGAAGTAGAAGAACTTAAAAGCAATAGACAGGAAACACAGACACCCATAAAAGAATGACGGAGACTGACAGTTTTCTCTACAACAAAACAAAATCCATTGCCAGAGGCAACGTTATAATATTTTCAAAGCACCGAAAGAAAATAACTGTCAACCTAGAAGTGGGCATCTTCTATCTATCTTTCAAAATGAGGACGAAAGAAAGAGCACCTTACTCAAAGAATTTCTAAAGAATAAGCTTCAGGAAGAAGGAAGATGATCCCAGAAGAAAGGTATAAAATGTATAAAAACTAATGATGTGCAAATAAATTCACAAACATGTAAGTAGAGCTAAACGCACACTGTTTTATAAAATGGTAATGCCCTCTAATGCACGGGGTTGAAGAAAGGCCAGAACTAGAACACTGTACAACAAAAGCATGTAGGTTTGGATGAAATGATTAAGAGGCAGTGCCCTAAGGTTCTTGTATTGTTGGGGAGGGAGTTAAGGTATTAATGTCAGACTCTTTTAGGTTAAGAATTCATAGGTAATCATTAAGAGAAAGGAATTAATCAATTTTATTTTGCTTTTTAATCAATCTAAAAAGCAAAATAAAAGACAATAACGGCAACAACAACAAAACTAAGCCAAAACATGGAAGCAAAAAAGGAAGCATAGGAAAAAGCAAAGTAGAAAGCAAAATGTAAGATATCAGAAATATGTCCAAATGCATTAGTAATCACTAAAATTGAAAATGGACTAAATTCTAATTAAAACAGAACATGTCAGCATGAACTAAAGACATAAAATAAATTAACCTCCCTTTTGCTAATTACAATAAACACATCTAAACATAAGGAAAAACATACCTAAAACATAAGAAAAAAGTTTAAGGGGTAGAAAAAGATATACCATACAATTACTATTCAAAACAAGGCTGGTATAGCCACATTAATATTAGATAAAATAGAACTTAAACCAAAAACATTATTAGGGATAGATTGATTATCTAATAATAAAAGTTTTCATTTTATAGAAACCTAATCATGTTGCAGTGAAACCTAATAATAATATTAGCAATGCAAAGCCTACCACCTTGGTGGTAAATTTCAACACCTTTCTTTCAATTACTAACACATTAAACAAAGAAAAAAATAATAAAATTACAGAAAATTTGAATAACACAAGATTTTTGATCTACTGAACAAAAACAGAATATGCACATTTTTCTCAAGTACATATGCAACATTTACAAAAAACTGCCATATACAAGACCAATATCATATAAATAATGTTCTCCAATTACAGTAAAATTAAATTAGAAGTCAATCACATAAAGGCAAAAAATGTTCCTATGTTTGGAAAATTAAAGGCCCACTGCATCAATCAAAACATTATAATGGGTATTTACAATACTTATTTACAATTTATTGCAACTGAACTATAATGCCAACACTACACATCAAAAATTCTGAGATGCAGTAAAAGTGGCATTAAAAGGGAAATTTATTTTGCAAATGTTTATGCTAGAAAAAAAGGCTGAAAATTAATGTGCTAGGAGATCCATTTCAGAAATTACAAAAGGGACAGCAAAATAAACAAAATGTAAAAGGAAGGAGATAATAAAGATAAAAGCAGAAATTAATGTCATAGAAACGAAGATAAAATAGAACCAAAAAGACAGGAATTAGTTCTTGAAAAGACTAGTAGACAAACCTCCGATGAAATAATTTTTTTTAAAAAAGAAGGCACAAAAAAAGGAATAATATTAGGAATAAAACGAGAAACATAACTACAGATCCAGTGAAGATTAAAAAATAAGAGAACACTATGACTGGTTTTATGGCAATAAATTTGAAAGCATATACAAAATGGACAAATTCCTTGGTAGGGGCAGGCTAACTTCCCAAGAAATAGAAAGCATTAACAGTTCTATGCCAATTAAAGTAATTGGATCAGTAGTTTAAAATCTTTCCACAAAGATAGTTTTATAGGCAAGTTTACCAAATGTTCAAAGAACATATCATTCTAATCTTATACAAATTCTTCAAGGAATAGAAAAAAAAAGGGATACTCCCAAACTCACTCCATAAGACCAATAAAACCCCAATATCAAAATCAGATAATAAAAGTAGGAGAACCACAGGCAAATATCACTCATAAATAAAGACAAAAAATTTTGAATTGAGTGATGTATAGAAAAGAGAACAAATTATATCCAAGTTGGGTGGATCCCAAGAATGTAAGAAGTATTTGACATTAGTAAAGTCTGTAAATTTGACTCACTACATATACAAATTGAAGTAGTTAAGCTATATAGCTTAATTATGATAACCTCAATAGACTTAGAAAGAGCATTTGATAAAATTCAATGCACATATATTCTAAAATTATTAGCAAGTTAGGAATAAAAAGGAATGTCTTGAACAAGGCAAGATGTCCCCTCTTACCATTCCTTTTCAATATCATACTGGAAGTCCTAGCTAAGGAAGGAAGTCAAGGAAAGGAGACAAAAGATATACAGATCAGGAAGGAAGAAATAAAACTGTTCACAGATGACATAAAAGTATATGTAGAAAATCCAAAAGAAGAGATGAAAAAAACCTATTGGAACTAATAAGCAATTATAGCAAGGTTGCAAGATACAAGGTTAGTATATAAAAATCAAGTTACTTTCCTATATATCAGCAATGAACAAGTAGAATTTGAAATTTAAAACAAACACAGTATCATTTACATTAGCACCCCTAAAAATGATGTACTTAGGTATAAATCTAACAAAATATTACCAGATCTATATGAGGAAAATGACAAACCTCTGATTAAAGAAATCAAAGAACTAAATAAATAATCCCCATATTTCGGGGGAAGGGCCTGGTGGGAGGTGACTGGATCATGGGGTAGATTTCCCCCTTGCTGTTCTCATGATAGTGAGTGAGTTCTCACAAGATCTGATTGTTTAAAAGTGTGTGGCACCTCCACCTTCTCTCTCTCTTTCCTGCTCCACCATGGTAAGACATGCTTGCTTCCCCTTCACCTTCCGCCATGATTCCAAGTTTCCTGAGGCCTCTCAATCATGCTTCCTGTTAAGCCTGCAGAACTGTAGGTCAATTAGACCTCTTTTCTTCATAAATGATCCAGTCTTAGGAAGTTCTTTATAGCAGTGTGAAAACAGACTAATACAGAAAATTGGTACTGGGAGTGGGGCATTGCTATAAAGATACCTGAAAATGTGGAAACAACTTTGGAACTGGGTAACAGGCAGAAGTTGGAACAATATGGAGGGCTCAGAAGAAGATAGGAAGATATGGGAAAGTTCGGAACTTCCTAGAGACTTGTTGAATAGTTGTGACCAAAATGCTGATAGTGATATGGACAATGAAGTCAAGGCTGAGATGGTCTCAGATGGAGATGAGGAAATTTCTGGGAACTGGAGCAAAGGTCATTCTTGTTATGCTTTAGCAAGGAAACTGGTGGCATTGTTCCCCTGCTCTAGGGATCTGTGGAACTTTGAATTTGAAAGAGATGATTTAGGGCATTTGGTGAAAGAAATTTCTAAGCAGCAAAGCTTTCAAGATGTGGCCTGGCTACTCCTAACAGCATATAGTCATATGTATTTACAAAGAGATGGTCTAAAATTGGAACTTATGTTGAAAAGGGAAGCAGAGCATAAAATGTTTGGAAAATTTGCAGCCTGACCATGTGGTAGAAAAGAAAAGCCCATTTTCTGGGGAGAAATTCAAGTCAGCTGCAGAAATTTGCATAAGAGGAGCCGAATGTTAATAGCCAAGACAATGTGGAAAATATCTCCAGGGCACATCAGAGACCTTCACAGTAGCCCCTCCCATTACAGGACCAGAAGCTGAGGAGGAAAAAATGGTTTCGTGGGCTGGGCCCAGGGCCCTGCTGCTTTGTACAGCCTCAGGACATGGTGTTCTGCATCTCAGCTGCCCTAGCCCCAGCTGTGGCTAAAAGGGGCCAAGGTACAAGTCAGGTCATTGCTTCAGAGGGTGCAAGCCCCAAGCCTTGGAGGCTTCCACGTGGTGTTGGGCCTGCAGGTGCACAGAAAACAATAGGTGAGCTTTGGGAACCTCTTCCTAGATTTCAAAGGACGTATGGAAATGCCTGAATGTCCAGGCAGAAGTCTGCTACAGGGGCAGAGCCTTCATGGACAACCTCTATTAAGGCAGTGAAAAGGGGAAATGTGGGGTTGGAGCCCCCACACAGAGCCCCCCTTGGGCCTATGAGAAGAGGGCCACAGAATGGAGACCCCAGAATGGAGATCCACTGACAGCTTGCACCATGTGCCTGGGAAAGCCACAGGTACTCAACACCAGCTCATGAAAGCAGCCGCGGGGGCTGTACTCTGCAGAGCCACAGGGATGGAGTTGCTTGAGGCCTTGAGAGCCCACCCTTTACATCAGCATGCCCTGGATGTGAGACATGGAGTCAAAGGAGATTATTTCAGAGCTTTAAGATTTAATGACTACCCTATTGGGTTTTGGACTTGCCTGGGGCCTGTAGCCCCTTTGTTTTGACCAATTTCTCCCTTTTTCAATGGGATAATTTACCCAATGCCTGTAGCCCCTATTGTATATTGAAAGTAACAAACTTATTTTTTATTTAACAGGCTCGTAGGTGGGAGGGACTTGTCTTGTCTCAGATGAGACTTTGGACTCAGACTTTTGAGTTAACGCTGGAATTAGTTAAGACTTTGGGGGACTATTGGGAAGGCGTGATTGGTTTTTAAATGTGAGAAGGACATGAGATTTGGGAGGTGCAGGGGTGGAATGATATGGTTTGGCTCTGTGTCCCCACCCAAATTTCATCTCAAATTGTAATCCCCAGGTATCAGGGAAGGGGCCTGGTAGGAGGTGATTGGATCATGGGCGGATTTCCCCTGTCTTGTGATAGTGAGTGAGTCCTCACAAGATCTAATCATTTAAAAGTGTGTGGCACCTCCCCCTTCTCTGTCTCCTGCTCCACCATGATAAGACATGCTTGCTTCCCCTTCACCTTACACCATAAGTGTAAATTTCCTGAGCTCTCCCAGTCACGCTTCCTGTTAAGCCTGTGGCTCTGTGAGTCAATTAAACCTCTTTTCTTCATAAATTACCCAGTCTCAGGTAGTTCTTTATAGCAGTGTGAGAACAGACTAATACAGTAGGTGAATGGGTAAGTAAACTGTGTTGCATCTAGACAATGGAATATTATTCAGTAGTGAAAAGGAATGAGCTATTGAGCTATAAAAAGACCTGGAAGAAACTTAAATGCATATTACTAAATGAAATATGCCAATCTGAGAAGGCTACATACTGTATGATTCCAACCATATGACACTCTGAAAAAGTACAAACTAAGGAGACAGTGAAAACATCGGTGGTTGCCAAGGGAAGGAGGGATAAACAGGCAGCACACAGAGGACTTTTAGAGCAGAAAAACTATTGTGTGTGGTCCTATAATGGTAGATACATGTCATTATACCTTTGTCCAAATCCACAGAATGTACAATACCAAGAATGAACCTTAATGTAAACTATGGACTTTGGGTGATAATGATGTGTCAATGTAGGTTCGTTGATCGTAACAAATGCACCACTCTGGTGTGAGATGTTGATAGCAGGGGAGGCTGCGTGTGTGAGGGCAGGGGTATAGGGTAACTCCATGTACCTTCCACTCTGTTTTGCCGTGAACCTAAAACTGCTCTAAAAAAGAAAGTCTATTTTTTTTTTTAAAAAAGCCTTTAATCTGAGAGAAAGAGTCCATAAAAATCCTATAGGAGATATTACACTTAATGGTAAAATATTGGAAGCATTTAAAATCAGGAGCAAGACAAGGAGGTCTACTATCATTATTTCTGAAAAAGATAAAACAAAGTATAAAAATTGAAAAGGAATAAAATGTTCTTTATTCACATCTATGAAAGTCTATATAGAAATATCAAAAGAATCTACACAAAAATGAATAGAAATAATAAGAGAATTTGGCAAGTTGGCTGGGTATAATATAAATATTTAAAAAGCGATTTTATTTCTATTCACCAGGAACAAATAAAAAAGTAATTAAAAAAGATAAAATTCACAATCACAACAAAAAGCATAAGAAGACTTATAATACATCTTTAAAAGAAAGATATATAATACATATATAGAGAAAAATATAAAACACTGTAGAAAGTCACAAAGAACATGTTTATGAACAATAAGAATTAATAATCATATAAAGAGGTCCTATTCCCGTTCCCCCCAACCAAATTGATCTATAGAGTAAATGGAATTCCAATCAAAATCTAATCAAGGTTTTCCATAGAAATTTCTTTCTTTCCCTCCCTCTCCCTGACCTCTTTTTCCTTTCTCTCTTTCTTTTTTTATTATTTGAGTTGAGATCTTACTCCATCACCCAGGCTGGAGTGCACTGGTATTTATAATAGATAGTTTACTGAAGACTTGAACTCCTGGGCTCAAGCAATCTTCCTACCTCAGCCTCCCAAGTCACTGGGACTACAGGCGAGCACCATTCTTGGCTAATTTAAAAAAAAAAAAAATTGTTTAGAGATGGGGGTCTTACTATGTTGCCCAGACTGGTCTCAAACTCCTGGCCTCAAACAATCCTCCCACCCCAGTCTCACAAGTAGCTGGTATTACGAGTGTAAGCCACTGCACCTGGCTTCGTGGAAATTTTAAAGTTGATTCCAAAATACACATATGGAAGAGCAAAGTCCAAGAAAAGCCAAGGAACACTAAAACAAGACTGGGGTGGGAAATAGCGGGGATGGACTTTTCTACTAGATACTAGCAAAAACTTTTTATGAAACTATGGTAATTAATGTGCTGTGGTATTGGTGCAGGGGTAGAAAAACTCAGTAATAGAACAGAAGTGCCCAGAAATAGGCTCATAGATATACAGAGTCTCTGATATATGACAGAGTGGCACTACAGATCACTGGATTTGCAGATCACTAGTAAAAAGATAGGCAATCCAACAAACGGCTCCCAGAATAGCTGGATATCCAGCTGGAAACAAATCAAACTGGATTCCTACCTCATACCATATACTCTAATTCCAATGGATTAAAAATAAATGTGAAAGTAAAAATGTAAAATAAGCCCTCCCATTATCAGAGGATTTATCTGTAGCATTAAGGTAGAGAAGGACATTTTACTGCAGACACAAAAATACAAACAATAAAAGGAAAGATTGATAAATTCCACTCATGAAAATGAAAAGCTTCTACTAAAAAAAAATACCATCAGGAAAGTGAAGCTAAGTCACAAACTGACAGAAAATATCAAGAATTCCTATAAATCAATAAGAAAAAGACAAACAACCAATAGAAAAATGGGCAGAGGACGTGAAAGGACTTTTACAGAAGAGGAAACACAAATGGCCTATAAACTGTGAAAAGTGCTCAACCTCATTAGTAATCAGCTAAAAATGAAAATTAAGACCACGAGATGCCATTTCACACCTGCCAAACTGGCATAGTTACATAACATTTTTGAGGACATAGAACCACAGGACTTCAATATGCTGTAGGTGCGAGTATAAGCGGAACAACCACTTTTGAAAACAAGCCGGCATTTTCATACATTCCCTAAGCCAGCAATTTCATTTCTAGGCACACATTCTAGTGAAAATGTTCCATAGGTTCAAAAAGAGACATGAACAAGAATATTCACAGCAGCGTTGTTTGTACTAGCAGAAAACTGAAACAACCCAAATGTCCATCAACAAGAGAATGATTAAAGTTTGAGTTATTCACAGAATGTAATAGTATACAGTAGTGAAAATGAATGAATTATAGCTGCACACAATAATATGGATAAAAATTTTTTTTTTTTGAGACAGAGTCTCACTCTGTCACTCAGTCTGGAGTGCAGTGGCACGATCTGGGCTCGCTGCAAGCTCCACCTCCCAGGTTCATGCCATTCTCCTGCCTCAGCCTCCCAAGTAGCTGGGACTATAGGCGCCCGCCACCATGCCCGGCTAATTTTTTTTGTATTTTTAGTACAGACGGGGTTTCACCGTGTTAGCCAGGATGGTCTCGATCTCCTGACCTCGTGATCCGCCCGCCTCAGCCTCCTAAAGTGCTGGGATTACAGGCGTGAGCCACCACGCCCGGCCAAAATCTTAAAAATATAATATTAAGTGAAAAAACTGCAGAGACCACATACAGTATGAGACTATTTTTATAAAGCTTTAAACCAAGCAAAACCAAACAATATATTGTTTAAGGATACATATGTGTGATGAAATCATGTTAAAGAAAGCAGCGAACACTAAACAGAAAATAGGCAGTAGTTCCAGGAATTCACAGATGTTCATTTTGTTATGCTTTATTGCTTACACATATTTGCATGTATTCTCTTGAATATATCAAATATGATATAATTAAAAAATTAAACATGAGTCAGGGCTCTGGGGCCAAATAGTACTTATGCAAATCCTGGTGTCTCCACTTCCCAGAGCATTGCCCTGACAAGTATCTTTCCTTCTCTAAGCTTCCATTTATTTCTCCATCTGTAAAATGAGAATGGTGACACCTCCCCTGTGGGTATTGGGAGCTCATCCTATTGCAGCACAGTATCTGGCATGTATGAAACACTGAGCATTTACTACTTTTATTTTTACTATTAATAAAGATCAGCGCAGTCACTGGCAGGGCAAGGACCCAGACACCCCATCCACCTGATCCAGTGCTCCTTCCACGACACCAGCTGTCCTCTCTACCTGTTTGCCCACCTCCCTTTGGGCTGCAGTGGGGAGACTCTTTCCAGCCCTGTCATAGGAGCAACTACATCAGGTGGCACCATGGCCAACAGCCTCCGTGCAGTCAGGGGACGTTTACATTCCTGGTGGATTAAAATTCTCAGCAGGCACTGCAGCAGCCTCCAGGCCTTGGTGATTAATAACACAGCCCAGTGCTGAGAGCTCTCAGAGAATGGCTGGCAAGGAGCCAGCAGGATGGCACAGGAACCTATTGGACACATATGAGCTCTGGGGACAGAAACATGCCTCTTTCTGGCTCTGGCTGACCCCATTGCCTGGAGCTGGGGCAAGGGAGGAGGGTCAGTGGCCCCAAGGCCTCCTGTCTCAGGGGTGAAGGCTCCAATCCTAGCTGCGCCTCTGCTTGCTGCAGGCACAGTCAAGCAAGCTGCTTCACTGCTTGGGCTTGAGTCTGTCATTTGTAAAACAGCACCTAGCTCAAAAGTGTTAGTGTGCTCAGAACAGAGCCTAGCACACCAAAGGCTCAGTCACTGTGTTTTGTATTTTTCTTTGGAGAACCAGTCTTACAGGTTACCACCAGCAGTTTATGGGTCCATCTTCTTGAGGGCTGGAACTCAAGCTGAATTATGTCTGTGTCCCAGGGTCCAATGCGAGCCCTGGTATGGAATACAGAGCTTCAGCGAATGTTTACTGAGCTCAATTACCAAGTGGCAGGCCAGCCTCTGCTCCCACACTTTGGGGATGGAAACCTCATCCCTTCTGTCTGCTGGGGAAGGTGCCGCCTGTTAGAAAGTCCATCCTGGTACAGAGCTGAAACCTATTTCAATAGCTTTCTCCCTCTAAGCTTTGAGAATGGGGGAAGGACAGTGGCGGTGGGGGGAGACCCTCCACCCCCTCCAATTTATGTCCACTCTCCAGGGCCCAATCCAGCCCACCCTTCTTGGTGTACTTCCTCTGACCACCCCGGCCTGAAGGAATGGTGCCCTCCTCAGGCTTATAGAGCCCACATTCCCAGACCTACGTTGTATGGACACACACAGAGATGTGCAGACACACACAGCCACACGTACACATAGTTACATGGTCAAAAACTAACACACAGGAGGACACATGACATCTTGACCCATGTAACACGTTCAACCATACAAATGTGCCACACAAGCACATGCACATGTACACGCACACACACATGCACAGTTAGAGACGTGGTGTGAGGAGCACGCAGATGCATGCACACATGGGCCCTCAGACACAGGAATGTCAGAAGCCAGGGTGTCAGGGTCGGAGCTTCTTGAGGGAGGCAGCCTCAGTGCTTTCCTAGAAATGGACTTGGTATACCCTGAAAACATCCCTTCGGAGTGGCTCCGGCTAATGCTGGAGACCACAGATTTCTCCTTGGTTGCTCAGCAAGCCTGGCATCTAAGGGGCTCTTTTAGAAACAGCATAAACAGACACTCAGGGCATCCTTTCTGCTCCATTCCATGCACTACAAATGGTAAGGCAATGACTATTAGAGCAGCAGCTGCTGCAGGCCAGCCAGCTCCTGCAAAGATAGACCAACTGCTGCTCCATCCTGCAGCCGGCTCCAGGCACTCAGATGGCAGAACTCCGTGATCTGGGTGGGGCCTCACCACTCTGAGACCACCCACACCTCTGTGGTCCTGGTTCCAAGTTCCTTCCAGGGCACTGTCCGTGAGGCCCTCCCTGGTCCAGCACAGCTCTGAGCCTCAGTTTCCACACATATCACTGGGCCTTTGGTCAGCTTCCCCTGCCACTGCCCCATCCAGCCTGCCTTCACCTCAGGTCCCATTCACTGCTCTGTCCCAGAATATGCACCGCTCTGTACCCAGAACATGCACATGGCCTGGCATATTCTGGGTACTCAATAAGATTATTGAATGAATGAACACTTCTCACCTTGGAAGACAGGCATCATTACTGCCACAAGCAGCAGGGCCTCCCACGCAGTCTCCCCTGGGAGATTACCTGTATACTAATCCCCCTCTCAGGCTCTGCTCTGGGACACCCACCTAAACACCATTGTACAGGTGAGGAAACAGAAGCTTCAGAAAGGTAAAGTGACTTTCCCCCGGTCACACAGCACAGCAAGCCCTGGGGACTAGTTTTGGGGAAGAAGTTTCTCACCCTTTCTCTGCCTGGAGAGGCTGGTGGGTCATGATGTCTGCTGGTCCCCAATATGAGTAAAGGAAGCAGCCCCACCTGGGCCTTGTGTCTAAGCCACATTTGTCATTCCAGCTGTACCATTAGCAAGGGGCACTGTGATCCTCATGGGGCCATGGGGTCTAGCTGTGAATGTGGTAAAAAGCTGGGGCAGGAGGGCTGAGTTTAGTCAAGGTTTGGCCACAGGCCCGTTGGAGGGAGGATGTCTTCCCTCGCCCACAGTCAGGCTCCTTCACAGCAACTCTCTTAACAAATGGTGTGATCACTCCGGGGGCAGGGTGGGCAGCCCCGGTCTGAACCTCACATCTCATCTGGGCCCTCACTGGACACCTTGGCCCAACACAGAGGATACTTGGGCCAAGTTGGAAAACTGCTTGCAAGCACAGTACTTTCCAGCAGCCTATATAAATCTGGAGAAAAGGGGTTATTAAACCCTGGGAAATGGCAACTAAAGATACTATGTTCTTGGAAAAATTTCTAGAATTAAATTATCTGTGAGTTATCAAGAACGGAGCACAGATTGCAATTAACATCCCGGCTGCCTATGGGCGCTGGCCCTCACGGGGAACAGGAAGCTCACACAAGCCTCTGTTCACACACGCCTCACGCCCCCCTGCTTCAACCCTCCTGCGGTCTCTGCAGCCCTGAAGACAAAGCCCAAGCTCCTCAGTCTGACATCTACAGTCCCCCATCACCGGGCCCCTGCCTGCCTCTTTGGCCTCCTCCATCACTCCATGCTCTGGGCCTCACACAACTCTCATCTCCAAGCTTTGCCTATGCTGGTCCCTCTCCTGGGACACCCTTCCTGTCCTTTAGCACCTCGGTAGTTCTTATCAAGCTTTCCTCCCCACACGGGGCCCTAGTGTCCAAGTCCCCTCCTCTGAGCTCCTGCCTGTCTTCCCTCAGGGTATCCATCCCGTGGTTGGTTGTGTGACTTGGGTCACAAGTGGCTCTCCTTGTCTGGACTATGAGCACTTCCAGGGCAAGATTCCTGGCTGTGTGGCCAACACTCAGCACAAGGCAGGACATGGAGCAGGTGCTTGGTGAATGAATGCAGGATTGAGTGAATGAATGAACACACACAAACAGTGACACCCATGCAGGAGCAGCACTGGGCTGGGATGGGTGCAGGAGGGGCTACACAGGAGGATTCTGTAATGCCCTCTGATTATGCCGCCCTGCGGGTCCCCTCTGTAAGACACAGGGCACATGCACAGTCAGGAGGAGATCAAAGAGGGCCCCAAGGGGGTACAGTGGGCACGAACAACCAAAACCACTCTGCTCTTGTGTGTCCCCAGGGAAAGGACAGTCAAAGTCATCACTCCACACCGTGCTTGCTGCACCCCAGGGCTTAGCAAAACACCCTCAGAGGAGACAGACTTGCTTTCTCTGCCTCCTCACCTCAGATGCCCACCGCCCCTTTCCTACCCGTCCCCCTCACCAGCTCCTGGAGACGTGTACCCCGGGTACTTCACACTCCACACTCAGCAAAGGCCCTGTTTCTGAGGCCAGGCTTCCTCCCTGATCCAGGCCCAGCCACATTGGGTGACTTCCTATCCTGGTCTCCTTCCCCAAATCCTCTCTCCTCCATCCTCCTCAATGCCCCCTCCCAGATCCACACATCCTACTGGGGCATCAGATGCAGGGACAATCTCAGCTCCAGCACTAGCTGTGTGACCAAGCATACGTGACTTAACTTTGCTGTGTCCCATTTCCTCATCCATAAAAGAGAGAGAATAATACCTATTTTGCAGTGTGAGATGACCCATGTAAAACCCTCAAGCAATTCCTGGCAGATGGCCATGGTGATCACTGAGCACAGCTGCCTCTTCTTCCAGCTAGTTAGCTAGTGCACCCCTGACCTCCCGCCTCCCCATCCACTGGGCCTCTCTGGCCCCCACCTCCTCACTGCCCAGCTCAGATGCCTCTCCCTGTCCTTCTGGCCCTCTCAGCTGCTAGGCTGGTATAAACCCTGAGCAAAATGCATGGATCAGCTCCGCCTTCCTGGATTCCAGCTGCTAAGAAGGCAATGACCACAACGTGCACACACATATGCACACATACTCGTGCATGCATGCACAAACACACACGCCTGCATACAGTCCACACCAGCACAGGCTCGAGGGCTCAACTCTGTACCCCACTCTCCTCAACCTAAGCCACCTGGTCTGCTGTGCAGTCAGTTTTCCCTCAAATGTCCCCCTCGGCTGCTTTCAAACTGCCCTTTTCTCCTCCAGCCCTTCTCATTCACATTCTAACAAGGCCCAGGTTCCCTCTGCTTCCACCAAAACCCTCCCTGACCCCAGGGCTTTTCCTGATGGCTCCACTGCTCACCCCACCACACTGTCCCCTTGGCCACCCAATCTCTGTGCCTCACTTTCCCTGTTCTTCCTCCCTCCCCCAATAAATGCTGATGTCCCCTGTGGGTGCTCTCTAGCCCCCCATCTCACAGGCTAGCTCCTCCAGCCTCCCCCCCCTCCATGCTTCTTAGTCTACCTTGAGGCTGACCACACCCCTCTCCTGCCTTAGGAGCTCCAGACTTGCGCATCCCCTACCCCCCTGGGGCCCTCTGGCTGACACCTCCCTATTCAGCATGCCCCAGATCAAGTCACAGCTTCCTCCCCAAGCTGCCAGGCCTGCACCAGCACCCACTCAATGAACCCAGGCCAGAGGCTGGAGCCCTCAACTGGGCTCCCCACCCCACCCCATGCATCTAGCAGACTCCGCACTGCCTCCTGGTGACCTGTCCCTCCTGATTCTCTCTCTCAGATCAAGCCATTTCTGGAGCTGACAAACACGTGAGTCTTACTGGCTGCCCAGTTTCCCCATAGTAAGAACTATCACTCCTTGAGTGCGGGAAGTGAAGTTGTAAATAGGGAACACCTATGCCTCCCACAAAGCAGGGTCCAGCCCCTATCCACCTGAGGGCAGCCAGGCCTGGCCAGTGGGTTGCCCTGCTACAGCTGTGGCCCTGGAGCACAGAAGTGAGGATCCCATCATGGTGTCTGGGTAGGCTCTAAGCTTGTGTGCCCCTGGAGGACCTGGGATCCTGCCTGTTTTGAGTCTGATCCTCTTCCCTTGGACAGATAGCCTGTGGTCCCTGGAGCCTGCCAATATATTTCTGAGTGGGGATGCAGGGCTCACTATGGCCAGGATTGGTTTCTGCTGCTTGTAACTAAGGAACCTGGCAGGTAGACATTCTCTCCTCCTCTGCCACCACTCCAAGCGAGGCTTCGTTAACTCACACCCTGGCCCTTCCCCATGCCAGTGCCTCCTCCTGGAAGCCCTTTTATCTCCTCCACGATGCCATCCTGATCCCCCTACCCTAGGCCCAGGCTGATTGTTGCTCCTTCTCCTAGGCCCCATCATCCCCTGAGCACCTCCTTAAAGCAGGTAAAAGAAGAGGGCAAACAGTGTCACCCTCGGGGACCTTGGAGTCCACTAGGCTACAGACTCCTTGAGTAAAGGACTGCATCAGTCTCAAGTAATAGACTCAGACTTGAAGTCTGCAAAGACAGGCTGCTTGCTATAGCAGCCTGAATCCCACTGGGTGATCGGGGTCAAGTTAATTAACTTCTCTGAATCTCAATGTCCTCTACTGTAAAATGGGGATAATGACAGCTACCTCAGAGGGCTGACATATTGCTAGGCTAACAGCACCACACAGACTAGGACCTAGGTCCTTCACTACCAGTGTTTACTTGCCCTTGGCTTTTCTCAAATAATAGTAGCATAGTTATTTGTGAAAATAAGGTCTATTGTTTTGTTCAGGGTCTCTGTATCATCACCTGTTAATAATGAACTCTCTCATTTTTACAGCCTTCCTCCAGCCATCAGCTCATATGACTCACACATAAGACCTCGTAGGGATTAATATCCAGACAAAACTGCCCCCAGCACACAAGCTGGCTGGTCTGCTTCCTTTCCCACTCAAAAAGAATCCTGTATCAACAAGTTGCCCTCTTTGCTTTGGCTACCAGGAAGCTCCAGGAAAATATACGATTCAATCACGATAATTAAGTGAGCTTAGGTTTTCCAAGTATTTATGTCCTTTTCTCTAATCTATGTCAATTTAACTGCACATAGATCTTTTATTGTAACTATCCATCATTTCTTAATGGAAAACAATAACTCAATGATAAGGAACAAAATCAACTGTAACAGAAGGGAGCAGAGTAGAACATTGCAACAGGATTTTCCTCCACCTACCCCTTTTCACAGAGGATGAAATTGAAGCCCAGAGAAGGGAAGGGGTGAAGAAAACATGTACCATTCTGCAAGCAGCCCCAGGATCTGCAGGCCTTGCTCTTGGGGCTGATTTTCTAGGAGACACAGCAGGCACAGAACCTACAGTCCATGATACTTCTAGGAACTCATGAAAATGTTTTAATTTAAAATCCAAAAAAAAAAAAAACAGTTTAGGTCAAAGAAAATGTGTTAATACATAATATGTTTTTCTTTATACCAATGCTGTCATAAAATATACTTTTAAATGTTTCTCATGGAGGAAAGGGCCCAAAGGCAGAGGTGCTGGAACTTGAGGACGTCAATGAGAAAGCCCCACTGGATTTACCATCTCACCAATGGGGACTGGACACTCCTATTGCCCCCTGCCCAGCTTCCTGGGGCCCAGGCCTACTCCATGCTTCTCTCTCTGACACAGATCCAAGGGCAACAACCTTCAGCATTCTCACGACCGTGCCAGGGGACATGAGGCCTTGCCAGGTGAATCTAATTTACCCTCTAGGTAACCACCTCAGACAGCTTTTGAAAGGCTGAAACCGCTGCTCAGGCTGTGGGAGGGGGATCCCATGGCTGATTTCACCAACCAGTTGTCAGGACAGATCTTCCTGGGTTCACAATATGGAGACAATTAAAGAGCTGGTGCTTCGAAGCCATGAGCTGCCAACCTCCCGACAGAGGTGCTGACTGCAGGCATCATACCCTCTGTTCCTATCAGCTGGAGCTGGAAGCAGCCCTCACTCCTCAGGACCACACCTTGTCTTCCCCCAGTACGCAAGCTGTGCTTGCCGCGGGGGCAGCCATGGGGGCAGCCGTGGGGGCAGAGCTGGCCCAGGAAAACATCATCACACCCCAGGGTGTGGCAACGGGCTCAGAGGGAGAGGTGCACAGGGCAATCGCCTGCCCTGGGCTTTGTCACAGACCTCCCTGCCGCTCAGCCAGCTCCCTATCTCTCCAGTCCCAGTGTCTGCGTTGGAAAGATAGGGCAATGGTCCCAATGACATGAGGTTATCGTAGGACTATACGGAGTAAAGGGCAGGTAAGCAATTGGACACGGTTATCATTTCCACTGAACAGGTAAGTAAACTGAGACCAGAACAAGGAAAATGCATGTGCAGCCACCGTCCTGATGAATAAGGGATCAGGTAAGGCCTGGGATCAGAATCTTGATTCCAGGAGCCCCTGGGGCAGAGCCTAGGCCTCTTGAGGGGTGGCTATGCCTGCAGGCTTACCTGAACCCCATGCCACCTCTTACTGGCCATGGGACCTCCCCACATTCTGTCTTCTGCCCCCATGGGTAGAGCCATGAGCCGCAGAGCCCCTCCATCCTGACCTGGTTCCTGCACCCTCTTTCAGGGCTGGAGCCCCAGGCCGCTGCCCCAAGCCCTCCCTTTCCCGAGCCCTACAGGCCTCCCTACCTGTGAGGTTGGTATCTTCCTGTACACAAAGGTCAGGGAGTGAGGCAAGAGGACACCTTGAGCTCCTAGTGCTGATTCTTGATTTAGCAAAACCTCCCCAGAGGTTTTGTGCAGGTTAAGTGGAGAGATATGCTCCAAATCCATGAAGAGCCCAAATTACACGTGACTGCTTTTGAGGAATCGCAGGAACTAATTAAGAGGCCTGGTCAGGGGTCCTCCAAGGTGAGCTCAATTTAAAAGAGGAGTCATCGCTGATGCTGACAGAGGGTACCCCAGAGCAGGGGGAGGCCAGGGGCTGGAATCCCAGCTCTTGATCTCTCTGGGCCTCAGTTTCCTCATCCATAAAATGAGCGCATCACAAGATCCACTGAGAAAACATGGACGAAAGCCTTAGTCTGGCATATGGAAGAGAACACGTGCCTAACCAATGCCGCTTTCCTTCCTTCCTCACACTTTAAAATAGCTGTTTTTGGATGGTGGAATCATTTTTCCTGCTGCATTCTTGGCTGTTTCCATCCTTTTGTTATCAATTAATGCAAAATTGTACTCCTGCCCCACCTCTGTGCCCATGGTCATAAAAACAGAATCTGCAGAGATGGGCTTAATGATAAACAGCTGCTGCAGCAGCAGCTAATTACTGAGCATCTACTATGTGGAGGACTTGATCGTAAATTCCTTTCCAAGAGCGAAACAGTGTGGGAACCTGGATAAGAACGCCTCTCTGGGCCTCAGTTTCCAAATTTGTGTTTCCAGTCGCAGCAGATGGTTTCTATGTTCCTGTCTGAATCTGACATTCCAGGAGCTGTGAACTGAGGGCATAGCCTCTCCTGTAACCTGATAATGCCGATGAAGAAGGGAGGGAAATAGGGGTCAGGGGTAAGTGGGTGCTGAGCACCACTGGGTACTGGGCACTGGGCTGGCCTCCCTGGGCGGACAGTCCCAGCTAGGCTGACCCAGAAATACCTCTGGGACAGCAACCGTGCAGCCCTCAACACGACCCTGTGAGCTGCTGCAAAACCCCCCACTTCATAGGACAAGAGTCCTGACTCTCTGTCTGAGTCCTTTCTAGCATGTTCCATTCCTTCTGCCCCACTGAACCACTCTCCCCCTTTTTATTACTAACATTCATTTATCTGTTGATCACATATTGTGCATCGGGAACTGTTTGAGGCATTGGAGATACAGAGGGAACAAAACAAAAACATCTAGACTTTATGGAGCTCAAGTTTGGCTGGAGGACAGATCATAGACAAACACATAACAGGATTTCAGGTGGAATATAGGGGCAGACAGTGGCCAAAGGTGCT
This sequence comes from Homo sapiens, assembly GCF_000001405.40. Lineage (NCBI taxonomy): Eukaryota > Metazoa > Chordata > Mammalia > Primates > Hominidae > Homo > Homo sapiens. Next base: position 53,581,629 of record NC_000001.11, read on the forward strand.
ACTTTCGAGAGGCAGTCAGGGAAGGCCTCCTGGAGGAGGTGACATGGGAGCAGAGGTCAGGCTGGGGCAAGAGCATTCCAGGCAGACGGGGCAGCCATGTAAAGAGCCAGAGGTGGAAATGAACTTAGCATATCTGAGGAACAGCCGGAACAGAGCAAGAGAGAGGAGTGTGGAAGGAACTGGGGCCAGAGAGCTCAGGAGGGGCCCACACCTGCCCTTTCCATGCCCTCCACCCCCTTCCTCCTCCCTAGGGTGTGCCAGGAATGCAGGAAAGTAACTATGGACATCTGAATGTCTGAGCTCACAGGATGGAGCTCAATGGAGTCCAAGTCTTCCATTTTATAGATGAGAAAACTGAGGACTCAGAGGGGTGGGATGACTTGCCCAGAACCACAGACAATTTGAATGCAGAGTTGGGGAGGGAACCTAGCTCTGAACCCCTGGCCTCACTGTCTCTACTTAGACTGTATCAGGGTCAGGAGACCTAGGAGGGCTTCCAACTTCATCTAATCCAAGTCCTAATCACATACAGAGGAACTAAGGCCCCACAGTCAGGTGGCTCCATGCAAATGAAGAAAGGAGGCTGGCAGAGCCAGGCAGTGGAAGCAGAGCTGGCACTGGTGCAAGCCTGTGTGGGTCTTTGCACAAGCCAGGCTTCCTCTGACCCTAACACCCACAGCAATCAGTCATCACACCTTCCCAATGCACTAAGAAGGTGTGACATTTGAAACTGGTTAAAGTCTCCCTGGAGCCTGCCCAGCAGCTCTTTGTGAATCAGACCCTGCTAGGAGGGAAGGTGATTTTGACACGTGTGGTCTACATGCACCGCCAACCGTCTCCTGCTGTGTGACCTCCAGCAGGTCACCTCTCCGCCCTGGGTCTCAAGGCCCCATCTGTCAAAGGGTGTGGCAGGGGTTGGGAGGGGCATCAGAGGAGCTGCTGAACCTGGGAAATTTCCTCCCAGTGCACATGACAAGAGCCAGTGTTCTTCAGAATCTGGAAGGCAACACATGTAAGTGCTCACCGCAGGTGGTACTAGCACACAGGTGGTACTCAGCAGACTGTGGTGTCTAGCAGGCAGGACACTGGCTGGGAGTGAGGGATGCTGAGCTTGCCTCTTTCGCTCTGCAATTTCCAGTGAGCCACATCCTCTCTATGGGCCTCAGTTTCCACATCTGCAAACAGCAAATGTGAAGATCCAGGCAGTCGGCCTTGTGGCCTAGCTGAGGCACCTTCTGTTGTCCTGGACTCCTGTGGGAAGGAGGGAGGGGAGCAGGTAGAAGGGGTACTGGGGATCTTACGGAAGTATCTGAAGCACTCATTTTTTCTGCCTGTGGCCAGACTCTCTTAAGCTCCAATCACTGTCATGTTCACTGGCAACTCAGCCTGATCAGAAATGACCCCGTAAGCCAAACTGCCTCCCAAAACTTGGGGTTCAGCAGATGCTGGGAAGAATACACTCACATTTAAATGTGGTAGGCAACTAGGGACAGCGGGAAGATCATGGGGCAGAGCCAGGACCTGAGCTGGAGGCGCAGATGTAACACTGGCCAAGTAGCTTCCACTCTGTGCATTTCAGTGACCCCACTGTGAAACAGCAATCCAGCCACCGCCCTGTGCCTTCCCTGAGCACAGGATCTAGCCATCAAAACTCTGCAGCCCAGGGCCCTGCCCAGGGCCTGACTGTTCCCCAGGAAGATACAAATGTTACTTTTGGCTTGAAAACACTATGGCTTGGGGATCTGATAAAACAAAGGGGCTGCTAGATGGTTCATCAGTTGAACAGACACTCACTGGGTGCTCTGTGCCCAGCAGATGTCCCAGTCTTGCCCCCCAGAATGCAGAGTCCTGCAGAGACCTCCAGTCCCATTGCCCCATCCCCAGGAAACGTACCGCCCAGTACCACATTGTCCATCTGCTGTCTGAGCTTATGTCCCAACATGGCAGGACCTATCAAGGGAAGTGGCTATACAGAGAGGGCAAGAGCAGGCTGCCTTCTAACAGGAGGCCACCTCCCAGCCATTTGGAAATTGCTACTTGCAAGGCAACAGAATCTCAGTGACAGATTCTCATTTTATCATTACCCACGTCACAAGAATGTATTGCGAGGAGGAGGGGCCGGGAAAGTCGGTGCCTTAATCACTTACAGACCACGGAGGCCCCAGTCCTGGCAGTGGAAGAAGATTTATTGTGGGGACGGGTGGAAAACAAAGAACAGTTGTGCAAACTTTACGGAACCACATTATGGGATATGCTTTTCCCATTTCCCACTGGCAAATGTGCTGGAGGCAGTTTCCGAAGGAGGACCCAGCTCCATTACCCAAACATGTGCAGACACTGTGCCCCAGCACGACACACTAGGCTGACCTGGCCTGGCCCACGGGTGCCCAGGCGTTGGCAAGACTGGGTGCATGGTCCGAGGCCGGTGGATCTGTGGAAGAAGGGCTCCAGATTTGAGTGGACTGCCCTTCCTGAGCCCCAGTGTCCTCATCTGCCAATTGCCATGTACCCACCACACTAGCAACACTAAATGTTACCTCTGCCCATATCACAGTCCTGTGTACAACTCTTCTGAGACTCTCTCCACTCCCTCGGGGCACAGTCCAATTTCCTTACACTAGACCTTGAGGCCCTTTGAGGCTCAATTCCGATGTTTCTGCCCTCAGCCCCCATGCAGGTAATTCACTTCAAGACCAAAAGGACACCTATGTTCCCCACAAGGTCAAGACTATCACATGTCAAAACCTTCACGTGTGCTGTTTCCTTTCCCTGCAATGGGTCTTCTCATGGTCTACACCTGGAAAGTGCCCACCCACCTGTCAGAGCCCAGCTCTCATGACATCCTGAGGAAATCCTTCTCCCTCCTCTGTGTCAGAGGCATTTGGTTAATTCATTTGCCACCAGACCATTCTTCCTTTGACACTGTACTCCTTGCTTCTAGCACTGAACTTGGCACAAGGGGGTGTCAAGCTGTGTTGAAAGGTTGGTGGCCAGGTGGGGGTGGACAATACAGATTAGCCCAAGGCTGTCTCCCAAGGGAAGGGCACAGTTAAGGAAGGACTCTAAAGAAGGGCCTCTTCTCCTCAGCATCTCGGTCTTGGTGTGTCCAAGGTGACCGAGACCTTAGGGGTTACCTGGCCCATCCCCCATTTAACAGACGAGAACAGGATGCTGAGGTCTGCAGCTGCAGCCATCCAAGTGAGCACACAAAGCCAGCTCTGGCAACCCCATCTGTTATCCAGCAGAGACAGAGTCTATAAATTCTCAGTTACGAAGTTTGCCATTTCCAGGATGGCCCTCTCAGAAAACATGGTCTGGACACCTTCTTAAAGTCACTGTTGATTTTATCTGACATTCTCACTCCAGTAAGACAATCATTTCAATTCCATTTACATTAAGTTCAAAAGCTTTTTCCTTTATTAGTTTAAATTCAATTCAAATAGTTGTGTTTTTTATCCTTAATTTTTTTTCATATTCCATAAAGCAATGTTGGGCTCACAAAACTTGGCCAGCCCTCCTGTTCCCTCAAATTTGGTGCTCCTGGGAATTCTCTTCCCTGTGAGAGCTTGGGACTAACGACTTCAAAAAATGGGGAGGTGGGGGAAGGAACAAGGGCTCCTGTTTTCAAGCATCTAATATGCGCCAGGCACGAGGTAAGTGCTACACATATATGATCTCATCTAGTTCTCACAACACTCTCCCCTCCACGCAGACAGGAAACCAAGGCTCAGAGATGCCACGTGACTTGTCTTGAGGTCTCACAGCTGGTTAAGGGCAGAGTAAGGGATTTGAACCTTAGTGGTTGTCCTGTGTGTTTAGCCATTGGTCCACCCTGGCTCAGAATTTAAGTAAGAAGGGAAAGGGGTGGGGGGTCAGGGATGGAGATAAGTAGAAATGGGGGATGGGGAATGGGGGTGAAACAGGGCAGGGTGGGGATGGAGGTGGAAGTGAGGTGGGGGTGGGCTGTGGAGCAGGGAAGGAGGGCATCCAGCAAAGCTGCAGGCTGAGGCCTCAAGACCAGGAACTACATTTGGGGAGCACATAGCCAACCTGTTCCATTCCTGATGGGGAATCTAACCGGGAGGAACACACCTGTGAAAGTGCCCTGTCTGTACTCAGAGGCCTGGCTGCAGGCAGGAGTACTGGAATGGGAGTCAGAGACTCAGCTTCAGCCCAGCAGCCCTGACTAGGGCAACAGTGCCCCTCTGCAGAGCACTCTGCAGGTACAGAGCACAGCCCCTCCACCCCCTACAGAAACTTCTGGGGTGAGCATCACAGCTCCCATTTTACAGATGCAAAAACAGACTTGGGAGTGAAGTGTCTTGTCCAAGGCTGCATGGCTAGTGAGCAGCAGAGCTGGGATGAGTCTCCAACTCCATCTATCTCCAGTCCCTCTTGTCCTTCCCCAGGCAAGTTATTTCCATCTGGGGACTCAGTCTCCCCTCTGCACAGTGGCTGGTGGGGGACGAGGCTCTGACCTAATTGCAAGGCCAGAGAACTGGAAGGACACTGGCTTCCAGGAAGCCTCTCCTTGTTAAGCCCAAGCCCCCTGGGTTTGCTTTTCCAAAACAGGGGAGGAAGAAAAGCATCCCAATGTAAGCCAAGATCTGTGGAGCTAAACCTCGGGCTCAAGAGAAGAAAGGACATTGGCATCTGTTGAGCCCCTACTAAACACTGTCTACTGCAGACTCTGACTGCTAGGCACTATCCCATTTCACAGTGCAGGAAACTGAGGCTCAGCACAGCCAAGCGACGCATCCAAGGTCACAGAGCCAGCCCATGGCAGAGCTGGGACTTCCAACAGCCTTTTCTGTTTCTTTGGGGACATTCGTGACTGAACAGCCACTATCCATTTTAGACTTTCCCTTTTCTCTTTCGCAAATGCAAACTGTCCAGAACGGCCAGGACCATTCTGATATACTTACTGTGTGCCATTGTCTAGTTTCTCATCAAAGCCTCACAACAGTCCTATTACCCCAATTTCATAGGTAAGAAAACCGAGGCTTATAGAAGTCAAGCTATACTTGTACACAATCACAGGCTGAGGGGTGGCAAAGCTAGGTTTCAAATTCAGGCTTTCTTGCAGAAAAACTTCAAGCACCAGATTAGGGGGTAGACGTGACAGTCTTTAAAGTCCCACCAATGTTGTGACTTCATGGGAAACTACTCAGGAAGACAGGGTCCGGGCAACCTCACACAGCCTTGGAACAGAGAGAACAGATAATCACAGGGCAGAGCCTCTGTCCTAGGGAGGGGACTCAGCTCCTCCACAATGAAGGCCAGGCCAGGCACTGAAGGGCATGTGGTCCCCCAGACACTTGGCCATGTTAGGAACCACTGTTACACACAGCGCAACACATGCTGGGAGAACAGGAGGCACAGAGAAAGGGGGAGCTAAGGAGGGAGCACTGAACTGAGTTGTGAAGGATGTATAGGAGTTTGCCAGGCTAGGAAAGGCATTCTAGACAAAGGAATCAGCAAAAGCCAAGACCCAAAGGATTTAAAGGACCTGGAGAATGCAGACTCTCTAGGAATTCAGGAGGAGAGGAAGCTTCAGGGCAGGAAGAAATAAAGCAGGCATCCCTGGGTTGCTGTTAATGTACCGGATGACATGAGGCCATGGTGCCTGCTCTCTGGGCTTCAGCTTCCCCACCTAATAATGAGGGTAGACATGAGAAGTGACATGATCCCAGGAAGGATCATTAACGAGGACACTTCTGGATGCCAACTTGCAAGCTGACTTTGCCCAAAACAGGTCTCCTTCCCAGATCCATCCAATCCTAGATTGAGTTGAGGCAAGTTGAGGATAGACTTGGTGGCTTGAGTGGGTGGGACCACTTGGCCTCTCTGGCCTCATTTACAGCAGGATTCTCCAGGGCAGCTTTTTGATTTGACCAGAAACCCCAGCCTCCAGGAAGGGAGCTTGTTTCCAGGCGACTATTCTAATGAGAGTGAAATGTTTTACTTTTCAACCCATGAGGTGTTCTCTACTCCAAGACAGAACAAAGAACCCATCAAGTCAGCAGGCAACAGGCTCTCAAGGTGACTGGGTGCTGGCTTCTTGAGAAAAATAGTTACATGCAATATCCATTTACTTCCCCACTCGACTGAGGGCTCCTTGAGACCAGGCAGGATTTGATTCCCTTCTGTGACCCCAGGACCCAGCCAGGGGGCACACAGCAGGTGCTTAGTGACAGCTTGCTGAATGAGTTTCAGATCTGGATATTCTCTCAATGTTTGTAAACAGACTGATGATTCTGTGCCTGGGAGGTGGCTTGGGGTCATGGCTAGTACACAGTCTCTGGAGTCAGACTGAGACCTGGGTTTAAATCCGACCCCACCATGCATTTGGGACCTGAACTTGGGCCAGAACTGGACTGTCCTTTCCCCATCTATAAAATGGGGATCATAATTCCAGTCTCCATGAATATTTTGAGGGCTGAGATCATGCACGTGGAAGCACTACATAAACTGAAAATCGCCCAACAAGCGTCTCAATAATGATCTTGTCCCACTTGATCAACCTGGCCAAGCTTATAAAGCCAGGCTGCAAAACCTCAGCTCCTGGCTCCCCTCCCTGTCTCCATCATCCAGCAATAATATCACAAGATTCAAAAGCAGTGTTCTTCCCACAGTGCCAGAAGTCTCACATCACAACATCTTCATCTCTGCACCCCCAGCTCCTAGCACGAGGCCTGGCACACCAAAGCAAGGCAAGTGTTTCAGGGGAATAATTCTTTCCTAATTGGAGGGTCACTTTCCCACAGCCTAAACCTTCCCCAACTTTCGATTATCAGCCCCTTCAGGGAACTTTCCCTGCCCACTGATGCATACTTGTTGTGCAGTCCTGGGCCCCTGACCACCCTCTCTGGGTCTGTCTTCCCTGTTCTCTGTCTGTATGTGATGGGATGAACTGGCCGACCTGCCACTCATCCATTTCAGGATCCTGGGTAATTCCCTGGGATGAGCTTCAGATGTTGCAATGGGTGAGGGGTGTGTGCTGGCCTTAAAATGCTCAAGCCCACAGGGCTGGTCTCAAGATGTTGGGCAGGGGGCAGAAGGCAGCAGATGCACAGGGACTCCACCCACTGTGATTTGAAAAGCACAGAGGTGACTGTTCTTCTGAAGGAAGAGGTTGGGCAAAAGTAGATGAGTAGAAGGCGGTGTGTCCCATTAGAATGGGCCAGGCAGCTGAGGCAGGTCATACAGAGCAAGCCATTTTGCCTGCGAACTTCAGAAACATACAGTTTCTTCTTCTGTAAAATGGGCATGGTAATTCATGGCTGGCCATGGTAAGTTTCAGAATATATTAATTCTCTTCTCCCTCAGGATATCCCATGGGATATGAGCCCAGAACCCCAATCAAATCTCTCTCCAGTTAACACTGGTTGGGCAGGTCAGCAGATATGGTTGGTATCTACCTCCTGCCACTTGGCAGACTGTGTGATCTTGAGAAGTGATTTGGCCTCTCTGGGCCTCGGAGGTTTTTGTTTTTGAGACAGGGTCATGCTCTGTCACCCAGGCTGGAGTGCAGTGGTGTGATCATAGCTCACTATAGCCTCAAACTCCCTGGCCCAAGTGATCCTCCTGCCTCAGCCTCCCACGTAGCTGGGGCTACAGGCATGTACCACCATGCCCAGCTAGGAGGTCAAAACAACAGATAGGGAATGGCTTGCATTGAGCCAGGATAAAACCATCTCTGAATCTCAGTAAGGAGCAACTCCCTTTAGCTCCCCCGCCCCTCCCAGCACCCAGGATTTTGTTTCTCAGGGGCTGGCGGAGGGGGGTAAAGGTTTGGGGCAAGGCAAAAGGGAAAGCCAGAAGCCCCAGGATTATGGGGAATGACCGTGAGTTTGGCCCAGGCTAGGAGGGCAAGGCCCTCCCGGCAGGTCCAGCCAGGTGGCTTGTGTTCTGAGTTCCTTGGCTAGTTAAGGCCAATCCGTAATACTCAGCTTTCAACCAGATTGATTTCTCTGGCCCTAGATTCAGAGGCACCTGGGACAGACTGGCAAACAGTGGAGAGGGGCGTAAGGAATGGAGACCAGTGGCCAGTGCAGCTGCAGTGGCCAGAGGAAGCTGGGCAGGATGAAAACCCGGCCCGAGACTCCAGCAGCTCATGAGGACTGGGAGGACACGCATGGGCCTCCTATGCCACAGGTCCAGCTGCCCCAGCCTAGCTCCATGCCCCCTGAGCAGACACTGTCTGACTCAGAGAAGGTGATCTGCAAATGACTGTCAATGAACAAGATGCAAAGAATCAGGGATCCCTGGTAGATATCGAATGGCAAGGACAGAGTGCCTGCCCTGCCCAAAGCAACCACCCACATACTGCCCTTCCCACCCTACTGACAGCAGAGGCTGCTACAGTCTCAAGTCCAGGCTCTGCCACCCATTGACTGGCTCTTTTGAGCCACAGTTTCTTCATCTGTAAATCAGCTGTAAATAACCCTGCCCTAAGCCCCAGGGCTACTGTACACATCACCTGAGATCAATGCTGGAGTGTGATGGGGAAGCAAGCACCCTCCCTTACATCATCTCTTTTATCCCTAATCACAACAACCCTAAAAGGCAAGTACTATTATTACTCCATTTTACAATCGAGTATGCTGTAGTTCAGAAAGGGTAAGTCACCAGCACGAGGTCACACAGCTGCCAAGTGACTAAACCAGGCTGGGTCCCAGGTCTGTGGGACTCCAGACCTGGGCTTTTCACCTCTGCACATGCCTTCCGGACCGTGCTCACAGCTTTGGTAAAACTCTTCACCAAAGTAAGGGACTCTTCTCATGCCTATTGTTGTTTTATAAAACCCAAGGTAGAGAAGGGCATTGTCATGACTTTTCCTTTTTCACTCTGCCTCTCTCCTTCTTGATGTGGAGAAAAGCAAGCTACAGTCTGCTAATTTCTGCAGTCGCAGACAATCAGAATTCCGGCCGTCTGGGAGAACCAACCTAAGAAAGCATGAAATTAATCTGTTCAAAGTTAATGTCTTGGAGTCGTCGCGTCAGTATTTGGGTTGGACGGGTAACCTTGTTATCGTAACACAGATGAAGCACCACATTTAATAAGGCTGAGACAACTCGGGCAACGTAAGAAACATAACAGGATATTGCAAAAAGATTAGGGAGCTTCCTCTGGACAGCATGGATGGGCCGTGCAGAGGGCAGGGTGGGGGATGGTGATGCCATTGACCTTGGGGGTCCAGCAAGTCCCTAGTCCCAGGCCTGGCCTAAGGACTAAGATGCTCAGGCAGAGGGGAGCTGGGCTCCTCTCAGCACATTGAGGCCTGCCTGGTGCCGGAGCAGAGGCTCCGCTGGCTAAATGTAAGCCAGCTGCGAGAATGGGAGTGTTCCAGTGGGATGGGATGGGGGAGGCTTACCTCATGAAAGAACTGTGGAAACGGCTGCTGGAAAGATAATAAAAGGATTAACTGCTATTTTAGTGGGCCATTTACTCTTCAATCAAAATGTCTCATCTATTTCCTGTTCTCCAGAGGCTCTGGGTCCAAAATTCCTTTGTCTATTACAGTGCATGGTAGCAGAGGCCTGTCATGAAAAATTAATAATTTTACAGGGAAGGGAGATTTTACTTATCTGGGTGCTGGTTGAGGCCCACCCCTTCCCCTGGGTTACCCACTGTGCCAGCATCATGGAGGAGAGGGAGCACGCCCACCCCACCGCAGGCAAGAGGAGGCCAGGGGAGGCTCTGACAAGCCTCCGAAGCCCAGATCACTGCTGCTGTCTCCAGATGGTGACACCCAGTGGGGCCGGCCCTAAAGCCCAGAGAATAGTCAGTTTAGCAGAGCTACACAAACAAGAGCATTGCAGTTTGGAAAGATGTAGGCTCGAGTCCCATTCCAATGGTTACTAGCTGTGTAACCCTTAGCAAGTTATTTTTATTACCATTATCATTCTTAGCCTCTATTCTTATTATAACTGTTGTTATTGTTTCCAACTAGCTGTGTGACCTGGGGCAAATTATGCAATCTTCCTGAACCTCAGTTTCCTCATCTGTAAAATGGGGGTTCACAGTATCTACCCCACAGCATTGTGTTGAGGACCAGGTGGAGTTGTCACTTAGAATAGCACCTGCACACAGTCTGTACTTGGAAGCTGCTTGCTGGTATTATCATCACCACAATCCTAAACCCTGGAAGAGGCAAGACCAAGTGTTCTCATGGGAGCAAGTGGAAGGCCAGCCAGACCCCACCCAACCTTTGTTTCTTCATTTGTAAAAACCCTTGGTTTTACAGGACTTGTAAGGATTAAACAATACTGATAGGTGAGTGTAGACACAGCTTGATATCACCTCCTCCATGAAGCCCTTCTGGGCCTTCCCTCCCTGGGACTATGCAAACTCCATCCCAGGACCTGCCACTCATCTCCCACCCATCTCTGAGCATGAGTGTCCCCAGGGCAAGGGCCATGGGAGGTCCAGGTCTGGGTCCCCAGAACCAGGCCTCAGCCAGTGTAAGCCAGTGTCCTGTGAAGTCTGTGGAATCAAGTGAGATCCTGGCAGCCTGGCCGCAGAGAGAGAGACCCTGAGTCTGCACTGAGTAACCCAGGCCCCTCTGACCCCTCGCTGGGCCCTGTTTCCCAAGCTAGAAAGTGGGCGGGGAAGGGCTAGATCCTCTCTGACTTCCCAAATTTCCAACACAGATACTCTTCTGGATGCCGTGATTCCACACAGAGGCCCCACTGTGAGAAGACCACTAACCACAGGCAGAAGCCAGGTGTAAGCCAGTGTCCTGTGGAGTCTTGTCAAGGTTCCTTCGGGTCACAGAGCCTCCACCTCGGCCCCCACAGGCACCCACAGACTCACCCATAAAAGAGAATATGTGAAGGAGAACTGTGGCTCAGCAGCTGTCAGCTCCAGGGTCTCGGGGAGATATGGGGGCCCAGCTGTCTCCCAGCAGCCCTGGCCTGGCCTGCGCGCTGTCTATTGGTCAACTCCTAGGCAGGGGCATGTGTCACAGGACCCCAAACAAGCCAGAGCATCGCCAGGGGCTGGCCCAGCCACCAGGCCTCCTTCCAGCATCCTCTCAGCCCAAAGGCACAAGATAAAGTCAAAGTCTCAGCCTGTCCAATGCACTCTCCCCACCACTGCTCCACACACCAGAATGCTAACCACAAGCTCCCTCCTCCTGCCTCCCCTTGGCACAGGCCATTCACTGCTGCTCACTTGTTTACAAAGCAAACTCTTTCTCCTCCTTCAAGACCCAGCCTCCTGAAGCTGCAGAAGCAGATCCTGTCCGACGCCCAGCTCCCAGCTCCACAGGTAGGTGGGGCCCAAGGGCAAGCACCTTGCCCCAGGAGGACGGAGTTTATGCTGCTGATTGCCAATGTGTCCTGCCTCCTTCCTGGCCCCTACAATGTCACCCTGGGCTCTGAATGGGGACACTATGCCCCTTCCCAGACCAAGTGCTCCATGAGTGGGTGTCCAATGACAGTGTTTGACACTTGCACAAGTCCAAGTGTGAAACAGCTTGACTTTAGCTATGGCACCAGCCCCAGCACACCAGCCATGCTGCTGTCCTGATGGCTGGGCGGGCTGGGCAGTGGCCCTGGTGGCCCATGCTTCTCAACACCAAGCACACCCTGAGGTCCAGCTCTGCCGTTTCTGGGCAGGCACCTCTCCTAGTGGGCTGGCTGTGCCTCGGAGGTAGCACAGCAGTTAGGCTGAGTGTATCAGGGAGTGCTCCTAGCCTCTGATACAGTATTCCCCACAGACGGGGCAGAAATGACCTGTCACAGAAATGATCCATCACAAGGGCTGGAGGCCTGAGTACTCACAGTTAATATGCGCGTGTGTGTGCACGCGTGCATGCATGTGTGTGTGCACGTGCGCATGTACACATAATGCTAGTGCCAGAAACCTGTCTCAACTCCAGGAAGAACGCTACTGGTACTACCCAGGGCCTTAGCTAGTAACCCTGGGCCCCAGCCCAAACCCTGCCCTGGGGACCTGCAGCTCTCGAGCCGGGTGCCTGTTAGGCCCCACTGTTCCTTGGTGGAAGCCAAGGCTGTAGGCAGCACTAGAAGGCCCAGGGAACCTCACTGGGATGGGTGGTGGTGAGGGCCCAGCGCTGGAGGAGAGTATGTTCTCCACATCTCATTTGGCCACCAGCAGATGGGACATGGAGCACAAACACATGAAAGAAGAGGCTGGCCACGCCTGTTTTTCCAATCGCATGTGCACACAGCCCCGGGCCCTGTGGCGTGCTAAGATATATCTAATGCCTCAGGGTGGGGGACTGGGCACCTAGTGAGTATGAGGGCCCCTCTGCCACGGTTCCCAGTGACAGGGGCACTGACCGTCTTGACCAGGGGCCACATCCACAGCATGGGTCCTTTCCTCCTCAACCACAGGGATCTCAGCCAGCCCAGAGGACGGAGTCCCAGGCGGCCTCTCCTGGGGCACTGGGGTGAGTGCTGCTCTGCCAGAGGGGCTGGGGTGAGGCCTGGCGGCCGGTGGGAACTCACCATGCACTTGTTGGGCTTCTCGCCCGAGTGCACTCGCATGTGGATGAGCAGCTTGTAGCGGGCGTTGAAGGGCTTGTAGCGGCGCACGCAGCCAGCCCAGAAGCAGGTGAAGTCCTCGCCCTTGCGCTGGTCGATGTGGCTCTTCTCGATGTGCCGCACCAGCTCCTCCTGCTGCTCATAGGCTGCACAGCAGTCCACCCAGCGGCACGCCTGCCGCCCGGCCACCACCCTGCCTGCCAGGCCCAGCCCCAGGCCTCCAAGGCTTGGGCCAGGCGGCAACTGAGACAGGGGATAGGGGGGCGGCAGGCCCTGCTGGTGAGGCCCAAAGAGCTCTGAAAACTCATCCGCGGGTTCCTGCTTCAGGAAGCTCGCCTTCCGGCAGGCTTCAAGTTGCAAGCTGCCCTCATGGCTGTCCGTCGATGCAGGGCCAGGCCGGGCCCGCTTGGAAGGGCCCCCCAGATCTCCCGTCAGAGGGGGGCTCCGGAGTCCATTTACACAGGTGACCAGAGACGTCTGGGAGGAGCGGATGATGGAGGTGACGTCGGAGGAGGCACAGGGTGAGGAGGAGGCTGGGGAGGTGGGGGGTAGGCCCAAGACGCAGCACCGCTTCAGGCTGCCCTCGGGGAGGTGGGTCTCGGGCTGGAGGCCCAGGCCAGAGCTGGGTTCGCTGCCCAGAAGGTAGCAGGAAGGCGCAGGGGTGGCGAGGCTTCGGCCCGGGAGGTCCAGGTCTGGGTGCAGGCCAGTGGCCAGCGGGCCCCGACAGTGGGCAGACAGGGATGTGCGGGCCTCTGCCATGGCTTGGTAGTCGGGCAAGGACTCCTGTTTGATGTGTTGTGTGGTTGGGAGGCTGCCGTTCACATACGTGGCCTGGGGTCTAGGTGACCTGGAAGACAGTGCCCAGAGAGGTCATGAGAGGCTGGGCTCGCCACAGAGGGAAGGCTCAGGTGGGGGCAGACAGGGAAGCTGAGGATCAAGGGATGGACAAGCCCAGGGCAGGAGGCAGAGGCTGAGGGCTAGAGGCAGAGAAAGAGCACCTACAGACTGGTTGTCTGGAAAACAAGCAGAGTGTAAAGGAAAATGGGGAGAGAGAGGAAGAGAAGGGCTGGGGAGGGAAAGAAGAGGCAGGAGGCCAGGCACAATGGCTCATGCCTATAATCCCAGCACTTTGGGAAGGCAAGGCAAGAGGACTGCTTGAGTCCAGGAGTGTTCACGACCAGCTTGGGCTACATAGTGAGACTCCATCTCTACAAAAAAATTTACAAATTAGCCAGGTGTGGTGGTGTGCACCTGTAGTCCCAGCTACTCGGGAGGCTGAGGTAGGAGGATTGCTTGAGCCCAGGAGGTTGAGGCTGCAGGGAGCCAAGGTCATAACATGCACTCCAGGGTGAATGTGGTGAGAACACCAGGAAGGAGGACCTTGCATCGTTTTACCAAAGCTCAGCACCCCCACCCAGCCCTGGATGCCACGCCATCCTGCTTCCCAGGGGGCTGCCCTGCTCCCTCTCCGTGGCCTTCTAGTGAGTTCTCCAGGAAGAAGGCTGAGGCTGGCATTTTGAGGAACACCCAGGTCCAGGGTATATTAAATTCCACTTACATGTCCTTTAAATCTTTCTTAATTTTTGTAATCTAGCTTAACTTCTACAAATGCTAATTGTATGACACTTCGCCCCAAGCAGCCTGGCCTTTCCACTGTTAATGTCAGTGCATGGGGGAGTCTGAAGTGCAGTCCTGGTGGGGGTGTCTCAGGAGGAACTGAGGAAAAGCTTCTGAGGGGTCCCAGGGTTTCAGGCCCTCACAATGTGACTGCATGAAACTGCGATTTTGGGGAAAAGCCATGGGGCAGGCCAGGCAGGGCAGCCCATGGGAGCACGTGGGTTTGAGATCAGGCTCAGCCACATCCAGCCGTGCAAACGTGGGCAAGGTCCTTTGCCATCCTGGGTCTCTCTCCTCCTCTGGGACATCAGGAGGATCCTCCCCATGAGAGCGAGGGTGGTGTATGTGGGCACAGCTGGGGTTTGCCAGGTGGCTGTCTTCACCACATAGGTGGTACACAGGTGCCCAGAGGGCCTCTCCCACATGTGGAACATTCCCTCCACCACTGCGCAGGAGGCCAGGCTTAAATAACACAAGGGGATTCCTGCACTGAAGCTTCCACCATTCTGAGTGGGGGGACCAGGTAAGGTGCAGAGAGAGACGGAAGGGCCTACCTGTCACCAGAGCACTCTGAAAAGGGGAAAGGTCAGGAAAGTGAGGCAGGGCTGAGAGTTAGGACACCCCCCTGGCTGGCTAGGCAGAACAGGGAGCCTGGTGCTATGCCTGAAGTCTGGCTAGGACACCCCACGCCACCTCATCCCATCTGAACCTCAGTTTCCTTGCCTGTAAAATGAGGGCTAAGTCTCTCTACCTCAGAGGATGGCTGCCAGATCGAGTGAGATGGCCCCGTGACAGCCCTCTGCGAAGGGGATGGCAGGGTGAGGGGAGCTCTTATCGCCATTCACCACCACTGTCTTGGGGCTCTCTGCAGCCAGAGCTGTGGGGTCATCACCTGTCCCTCAGTTTCCCAAGATGGCCTTGCAGCTCCAGCCCCTCCATCTCTGGCTCCCTGCAACTGGAGCAGCCCGAGCTCCAGTCATGAGGTACAGGAGGGGAGGGGAAGGGACAGGGCTCCCTGGAAGGGAGCTGCTGAGATGGGGATAATCAGTGTTTCTCCAGCAGAGACTCAGGGGAGAGGCAGGGATCTCAGATCGCATGTCTCTGAGGGCTCAGGAACTGCAGTCTGAATGGAAAGTCAGTGATTTCACTCAACATGCTTTTCACTCTGTGCTGGGTGATGCTGAAGAAGTGGGAAGACCAGGTCCCTGACCTTGGGCAGCTCCCCTTCCAATAGGGGAGTCTGTGGACCAGTCCCCTGAGAGAACATTTACATTCTGCTGAGGGGTAGGTAGAGTTCTGGTGAACAGAACTAGTTATGTAGCCTCTCTAGCCTCAGTTTCCCCACTCAACGGCAGTTGGGGGTTGAGAGCATTAATGCATAAAAAGTGCTTGGCCTGGTGAAACCCTGTCTCTACTAAAAAAAAAAAAAAAAAAAAAAAAAAAAAAAAAAACACTACAAAAAATTAGCCGGGTGTGGTGGCGGGCGCCTGTAGTCCCAGCTACTCGGGAGCCTGAGGCAGGAGAATGGCGTGAACCCGGGAGGCGGAGCTTGCAGTGAGCCGAGATGGCGCCATTGCACTCCAGCCTGGGCGACACAGCGAGACCCAGAAAAAAAAAAAAAAAAAAGTGCTTGGCCTGGGGTGTAGTGCACAGTAAGCACACCACCATTGTTTTTTATTAGCCGTAGGATCTGGGCCTCCTGGGACCATGAGGACTGAATACAAGAATGTGCACCCAAAGGAGTCACTCAGGAAACCGAGGCTTTTATTAGTATTAGAGAGTTAGGCTGGAGGCAAGGAGGCAGCTGGCGCAGGAGCCCAGGCGCTAGTTGCAAGGTCCTGAGATTGGGAGGGGCAGGCGCCGAGAGTGGAGAGAAGGGGCCCCAAACACAAGGCCGTCGGGCGGTTGGGGGAAGGCACGGAATTCAGATCAGGTGCGGCATAGGGGCTGGGGGTCTGTTTTTCTTTAGGAAAATGAGCGAGTCTGAAAGTGTCAGCTCAAATTCAACCACTTTAATAGGGAGGGTGTGGGGGCACAGCAACTTAGACTGATGCCGGCGTAGAATTCTACACACAGACTCTCCTGTGCCGTAAATTGTCAAAATGATATTCAAAATGACAAATGATATTTCTGACTATCTCTAGCAAAAGAAAAAAAAATCCTCTTCCTTAGCTTTTCCTAGGTTAGCACAGCTTCTACCCTGAGAGATAATAGAATGAATTTCACCAGGGAAATTGGGTACCACTGGGGAGCCTCCAGAGAAGAATCCAGCAGATAAATGCATTTGACTGTCACCAAACAATGCACGGCTCAAAAACTATAAGACGCTTGCTCCTTGCTATGGACTGATTTGTGTCCCCCCAAAATTTATACATTGAAGCCCTAACATCCAGTTTGACTGTGTTTGGAGACAGAGCCTTTAAATAAATAATTAAGGCTAAACAAGGTTATAAGGTTGAGGGCCTACTCTGATAGGACAGGTGTTCTTATAAGAAATGAGGGCCGGGCACGGTGGCTCACGCCTGTAATCCCAGCACTTTGGGAGGCTGAGGCAGGTGAATTGCTTGAGCCCAGGAGTTCAAGACCAGCCCGGCCAACATGGTGAAACCCCGTCTCTATAAAAAATTAGCCAGGCGTGGTGGCACACGCCTGTAGTCTCAGCTGCTGGAGTGGCTGAGGTGGCAGGATCACTTGAGCCTGGGAGGTGGAGGCTGCAGCGAGCCAACATTGTGCCACTGCACTCCAGCCTGGGTGACAGAGTCAGACCCTGTCTCAAAAAAAAAAAAGGAGGAATTAGGGCACAGGCCGAGGGATGGCCACGTGAGTACTCAGCGACAAGGCGGTCATCTGCGAGCTAAGGAGAGAGGCCTCAGAAGAAACCAAACCTGCTGGCACATCAGTCCTGCACTTCTAGCCTCCAGAATGGTGAGAAAGCACAATTCTGTTGTTTAAACCACCTAGTCCATGGCATTTGCTATGGCAGCCTAAACAAACGAATACACACCCAAAATCAGAAGTTTTACTAATATCAAAGGAAGCCAGAAGGAATCTAAATTCTCAAAGGAAAATGGTTGCACTTGGGAAGAACAGCATCCTTCTATTTAGGAATTTATCCACTGTGGAGCTCTCACGAGAACGTAAACTCCATCAGGAGAGATCTTTGCTTCCTTCACCAAGATGCTCCCAGCACCGACCACAGTGCCTGGCACATGACAGGCACTTGACAAATGGCTGGTGAAGGAATAAACTGCAAACCGGCAACTGGGCAAATGTTTAGAATCTCTGGTCTGTGAAGCAGGCCTCAGGCCAGCAGCCCCAGGCAGTGGGTGAGGGGCCTGGGGCTGAGCTGGTGTGCACAGAGGCCTGTCTGTGACTGACCTGGCTGTCAGCAAACCAGAGGGCACCAAGGCTGCTATGGTTTGAATATCTGTTCCCTCCCAAACTCATGCTGAAACTTAATCCCAAATGTGGCAGTGTTGAGAGGTGGGGCCTTTAAAAGGTGACTGGGTTGGGTCATGAAGGCTCTGCCTCATGTATGGATGAATCCGTTCACGGGTTAATGGATGATCATGGGAGTGGGACTGGTGCCTTTATAAGACGAAAGAGACCCGAGCTAGCGTGTTCAGCCCCCTCACCAGGTAATGCCCTGCGCCACCTCGGGACTCTGCAGAGGTCCAGCCAGCAAGAAGGGCCTCACCAGATGCAAACCCTCAATATTGGACTTAGCCTCCAAAAATGTAAGACATAAATTCCTTTTCTTTATAAATTACCCAGTGCCAGGTATTCTGTCAATATGTAACAGAAAATAGACTAAGACAAAGGCACAACTGAGACCCCAGGAGAAGCTGTAGGAGGCGGGCGTCAGCCCAGTGCACACCCTAATGAGACAGGGTGGCCGGCACTGGAAGTGTGCAAGCACTGAGTGGACAGCTACCCAGCAGGGCTCTGTGGGCCATGGTCTCCTGGGGCAGAGATGGTATGTGGGAGGAATCCCTCTCTGCCCTATCAGCAGTTCAGGGTTTGACACTGTATAAACTCTGAGCTGGGCTTTCCTTCCCCAACCTACCCATGAATCTTCCTCTTCTGAAATGATTGATTCTCTGTGAAAAGCTTCGTCTGCTTGTTCAGCAGGGAAACACCTCAACAGAACCATCTTGTGTCTCTCAGAAGGCAAAGCAGAAGGTGCAGGATCTAGGCCAGGTAGCTGCTTCTGAGCTACGGGCCCCTCGTGCCTCCATTTCCCCATGTGTCCCCCCAGCTAAAAAGAGGAGGTGAGGCCTGAGGCCCATGGTCCTGGGGCCTCCTGGGAGTGTCCACAGAAAGCAGCTGCCCACACCTACCTGTCAGGGTGGGGGAAATGCAGCAGCCTCTCACAAGCTTGGGGGTGAGCCCGGGGCGGTGGGCTTCCTGCAGGGAGAAACAGGCCCTGGCAGCAGGTGGGGCCAGGGCCCTCAGCAAGGTCCAGGTCCAGCAGGCTCTTCTCTGAGCCCGGGGTACGGTGTCCGTAGCTCCCATTCACTAGGCAGAGAAAGACAGGGAGAGAGGGACACAGTGAGTGGGAACAGCCTGCAGAGGGGTATGGGGAGAGGGCAGTCCCTGGGGTACAGCAAGGGACAGGGCACCCAGAGCCAACACTCACTGCATCCCTGCTGCATGCAAGGTACCAGGATACCTCATCTAATTCCCACAACCACCAGCAGGATCGATAATAAAATCCTCCATTCTCAGATGGGGATGCTAGGTCTCCGGTGGTTAAATGACTGTTACATGAACACTGGATACCTCCTATGTACAAACACTGTTCTAGGTGCAGGAAACACTGGTAAACAAGAGAAACTCCGAGTCTCTTGGAACGTACAGTGTATTATCCTCACGTTAACCACACGGTGCTCATGAGGCAAGGTGTGAGAACACCAGCTGGGGCAGGTGGCTGCTCAGCTGCGCTGCTGCCCACAGGCTGGAGGGAGCAGTGCTGACATGTGAATGTCAAGGAGTACGTGCTCACTAAACAGCATCTGGTACAGTTAACACAAAAGCTCAGTCTACATTGTCTCCCAAATTGTGTTACACCACAGAAACACAGTGTGCAATTATACCTCGCTATTGCCTGATTCTTCCACAGCCTGCCTCATGCCCTGCCTCGCCCTGCTAGTGGGTTTCTAGGAAGATTAGCTGAAGCAGTTGATGTGAAAGTGCTGAAAAACCACATAAAGTGTAACAAGAGTCAGGCGTGCTTGTTCTAAGCTCCTTCCCCTCTCTGGGCCTCAGTTTTCTCATCTACGGATGAGGGATATACACCTCCAAACTCCATTTTCTTATGCTTTCTGTCCTGTCACTCACAGAGCAAAGCTAGGGAGGAAAGGACATGAATTTTGGGGGCTGACAGACCTCGATGTGAGCCCCTACTCTGCCCCAAACCAATTCCATAACTCAGACAAATCCCTGCGCAGGCCAGACCCTGTTTCCCCTGTGTAAGGGGATCTCACCCGTTCCCCAGTGATGCTGTGAGCCTCTGAGAGCAGGGGCACAAAGTCTCTAGCACGGTGCTGAAACCTAGTGGATGCACCAAGAAGGAAAATTGTTCTTATTGTTAAACAGCACTTCAACAATTACAAAGTGCCTTGCAGATACAATAAAACATGATTGATAGGCCCAAGTATGGCCAACCCTGAGAAAGATAAACCATTAAGACGTGAAAAAAACCTGGTCCTGGAACATGATTGACTCCTTACCATGAGGAAAAGGACATCAGCAAGCGCAGCATCTGCCGAGCAGCCTGTGCAGGACCAGGGCTGGGGACACACACCACTGTCGCACTTGAGCATCCCCACTGCTGTCCAAGGGAGGCCTGAGTCTCACTATCCTCATTTTACAGAGGACAAAACAGAGGCGTGGGGAGGTTCAATTACTCACCCAAGAACACACAGCTAGGAAGCCTCTGAGTTGGATTTCTGGATCAGATCTGTCAGACCCAAACCCCACGTCTTAATCGCTATGTAATAAGAAGCCTTTTAGAGAGTCCACCCCCGAGGATCCCTGTCCCTCAACCCTAATTCTAGCCCACCCTCAAGGCAGTTCCTTTGGCACACAATTATCCCCATGCTGAGGCCGGGCACTCAGTGCTAACTAGCCATGTGCCATAGCTCTGGACAGGCACCAGGCATTTGCTTGCCGAGCACGTTCCAGTCTGTGGATGAGCATGCAATGCTCACAAGGTCCCAGGGCAGGTGAGGTGCTCATATGGGAGCCTCCACGTTCCCAGCCACACGCGAGCCCGTGGAGAGGACTCGGCAAACATCTGCTCCCACGCTACCTTCCCAGCCCCAGCCCCAGTCCTGGCCCGTCCTGCTGCGAGCAACGCTTGTTCCCACTGGCCCTGGCTGCTGCCTGGCCAGCCCCTCGCAAGCTTATGTTTTAATAACTGGGTTGTTTTTTAATTAAAATGAAATCCCTGGTAACAAATGTGAATGGCCCGAGTTAATGAGAGCAGGCTGCCGCTCATTTAACTCCGTCTCTGCTTGGCCGTCTTTGCCTTTTCCAAATCGTTTCTGCATGCAATTTTATTGTCCCATTGAGGCAAACCCTGGGACTGGGCCTCAGAAAACTGTGGATAATTTTATGACCATTAATAGCATTTGGAGCAGAGAGAGCTTAATCATCACACGGAGCAGTTTCACCAGGGTCTTTCTCCCAGGGTCTCTAACGGGGGTGCCGTTCAGAGCTTCCTTCCAGGACTCACCAGGCCCCTCTGGGGCCTTGGGTTACTCCTCCCCTCCTGCACTTAGGAGGCTGTGTGCAGTGAAGGAAGGCAGGCCCTAGAAAGGGTGGACAGCCAGCACCTACCAAGCCCTCACTCATCAAGACCTTCAAGGGTCCATCCCTGTGGGGCAGGGGCAGGACAGCCATTTTCCAGATGAGAAAGTCAAGGTTTGGAGAGAGATTCTGTGCCTTTGAGCAGGCTTGGGGGTCTGTAAGAAGCAGGGCCACAGTTCAAACCTAGATCTCCCAGACTTCAAAGCCCACATCCTGCTGCCTCTTGGCCAACTGCTGAATAACCAGAGACCCCTAAATAAGTGTCCCCACCTTTGACTCCAATGAGGGTCATGTTGGAGAGCCTCTGGGAAAGTAAAAAGGAAAACCATCATAATGATGTCTAAGCTTTAATCTTTGCAATAATTCTGCCAGGAGGGTAAGCCCGCTCCATCGACAGATGAGGATACAAAGGCTCAGAATGGTCAAAGCAGTTTGCCAAGGTCACACAGGGAAGAAGGGACTGAGTGGAGATCAAACCCATCACTTCTACAGGAAGAAATAGTCTTTACCCAACAAACTATTGAGGCCTGTTAGCTTCTTCTCCTCTGGATACAGTAAAAGGTTTTCCTGCAGTAAATAAACAAACCAGCTTTGGGAGGGAGGGAAGGGGGAAGGCGCCACTCAAGTCATAGTATGGTGCCACTTAGTGCTCTAGGCTCATTCAAGCCCTTGTCTGCTGGGACCCTCACAGCGCTCTGGGTGGAAACATCAACCTCCCAACTTTGCAGAGGGACACTGAGCACCAGGGCCAGCAAGTGGTCACCCAAGGTCATACAGTAATTGCTGGCATAGTCGTGGCCCAAAGTTGGTCTTTCAAAGCCTAGACTCTGCCCCGGGATACCTGCTGTCTCAGAGACTGGAAGTTAAACCCAACACTGCAAACACGTGTCCCAGAAATGCTGCTGTCACTGGAAAGATGCGGGGACTCTCATCGCTACCCATCACGGTCCCATGTCTGCCAGGAAAGATGTAGGCACTGCCTCCTGTCTGTTGTCTTGCCTCCCTGTCCCCAGTGACTTCACAAGACCCAGATGGAGGAGGTCCACTCCTGTTCACTCTCCATCTCCAGAGAGCATGGATGGATGGATCCTTCCCTGGAAAAGCCGGGGGAGCAGGGGTGCCCTAGAAAGAGGTTGGCACCCGCAACCATGTCTCACTCTGTGCCACAGGGGGCCAAGAGCCAACCTTGGGCCTGGCTTTCCCCATGCAAATGAAGCTCCTTTGGAGACTTACAGGGTGATGGAGTCCTGTGTTTACTTTTACAAGTTAGTGAGAAATCCTAGAATGTCAGAGTTGGGACTGGCTGACCATCTATTTCATTAATAGATAAGAAGCTAAGGCTCAGAGAAGGAAAGGGCCTGCCCCAGCCACACAGCAAATCCATAGCAGGGCCTGGATTGGCACTTTTTAAGCTAGGTAAGAATTTCATTTGGTTTTCTCATCAAGCCTCAATGTTCTTATCTGTAAAATGGTGCTAACACCTAACCCACAACGTTGAGGTGACAAATGAGAATATGAACACAATGCATTTGGCATGAGGCCTAGCTCACAGTTAGTGCTTAAAAAGTAATGTGATGATAATTATTTCTTTTATTTCTCCTTGAGCCTGGGGCAGGGAGATGGGGACCTGTAAGGGAAACATGTTGTCCCCAGAAAGGGCAGGTCTGGATGACTCTAAGGCCAGACTCAGAAGGACAAACCCTCAAGACTTGGGGTTCAGTACATGCAGGATGGCGTAGCCTAAACGAGGTCACAGCCAACAAATCCGAAGCAAACAGCTCTAGTTACACACCAGAGAGCTTTGCAAATTACCATAATGACTTGGCTATAAAGTGGCACCACATATAAGGTGACTCCCCACAAGAATTTTAATTTATGCTGAACCCTGCCAAGTCTGCGTGAGAGTGGGCAATGATGCATTCAGCATCTAAGACCCAGAGGCTGCCTCCTTGCAGTCCCAGAAGCATCCAGCAGCTGGGTCCAGGCAGGCCTACATCATGACCGCCTTCTTGTTTTAACCACAAGCAGACTTTATTGTCTATCAGGCACTGGGCTGGTGATAGGGCACTGCACTTTACAGTTTACAAAACATTTTTGCATCCATCACCTGTGAGCTTCATTACAACCCTCAGGAGTTGACTGGGCAGGCTCAGAGAGGGCAGGTGATTTGCCCAAGCTCACACAGCAAGTATAAGGCTTAGACTTGCCTGACTCAGCCATCTAGTCAGCAAGCTTTTTCTGTAAAGGGCAAAAAAGTAAATGATTTAGGCTTTGTGGGTATATAGTCCCTGCCACAACTACTCAACTCTGCCCTTGTACCATTAAAAAATATATATATATGTGTGTGTGTGTGTGTGTGTATATATATACATATATATATATACACACACACACACACAAATGAGTGGGACTGTGTTCCAATAAAACTTTATTTAGAAAAACAGATTGCTGGCTCCTAGGCTGTTAATCGCCAACCCCCGATCTCATGCAGCAGTGAGAGAGACAGGATTCAACATCTGAAATGAGCATACTTTTTCCTGCATCTGTAAAATGGGGAGGATTTTACAGGGTGGAGCTGAGGGTGTGAAATCACTGTCAAATACTGAACGCAGGCCTGGCTCCTGGTGGGCATTCAATGAATGGAAGTGCCTTCAGCCTGGCTCTGGGGCCACTACAACCTAGACTCCCCTGTCCACCTGGTGTGACCTCACACATCCATGATGCTTCGCTGCTCTGAGGCACACATCCTCGGCATCCCATCAGGGTGGCCTGACCCTTCCAAACCCCTCTGGGCCCTCAGAGCCCAGCAGAAGCACACCTCCTCCTGGAATGGTGCTTGGTCTCCTGCCTTCCCTCCTGGCTTCCTCCACTGCCTGAGCTCCCCGGCCTCGGCAGTCCCTGCGAATAGCTGCCACTTAGGTGCGCCTTCTGCACATCCAGCACGTGCCAAATCCTTCCCATGGTTTTTCTCTAAATCTTCACAACATCACTATAGTACTCTCTACTGCCACACAGATGCTTTCGGTGCAATGAAAGTCCTACCTCCCCTACGAGCCTGAGAAATCCTTCAGGACAAGGATCTTGGAGCCCCAGAGCTGCTGAATGTCAATGTGGCCCTCAGCATGATTTTGTCCAACTTGCTTCACATATTGAAGGGAAAACAGGGGCCCGGATTGAAGAAGGGACTTGTCCTAGTCACACAGTGAGTGCGTTCTCTAGACACCTGGGCCCCCCAGGCATGTGCCCTCTCATTCCCTCATTCCCAGCACAGTCAGGCCCACAGCAAGTGCTTAGAAATGCTGGGAGGGTAGGTGGCTGGGAGGCCTGTCTCAAGTTTACTTTTGTGCCTACTATATGCCAGACACTGTGACTTAGGGGAGTGGAACAAGCTTTGTCACACACACACCTAGGTTGAAGTCCTGCTCCACCATTAACTTTCTAGCTATTTGACCCTAGACAGTCACCTCACCCTTCTGAGCCTCAGTTTCTTCATCTATAAAATGGGGATAAGAATCCCAGCTCCAGGGGATGGCTGGCTCTTAGGATTAAGTGAGGTAATGTACATGGAGTCTCTGGCATGGTGCCTGGCACAGGCAGCACTTTGATAAAGGCCCCTCTGCTGCTGTCTGGACAGGCAGAGAGACATGGTCAACAGCCCCTGGGGTAGACCTATTTTCCTGGGCAGTGGGCATCAGCCGCCATGGAAGAGCAGCCCTAGGCCAACGGAGTCATGCCAGCAGCCCTTCCCCAGGAGGCTGAGCATGGGCGTGGCAGCCCCCTCTCTGAGCCTAGCTTTGCCCTCTGTGCCCCAGGAGTGCTCTGCTGGGCTTCCCACAGGTCAGGCCCTGGCAGGAGGGGCACCCCAGGAATCACAGGCAGGAGACATAGTGCTTCCCACTTCCTAGGTCCAGGGCGGGTGAGCAGCTCACCGCAGGACACACAGCAGAGACAGAGCCCGAGCAGCGTTCATCTCCTAACCCTTTCTGCTCTCTGGGCTGCCTCGTCACTCCCTCTTTTCCCTCCTCACAAAATCCAGAAGCCCAGAGACCAGCAGGGAGATGGGCTTCTGAAAGAGGAGCAGCAGGAAGGTGGACAGCCCGGTGGACCGGGTTAGCTGAGACCTGCTGCTTGCCTGGAGCCGCCTTGGGGCATTCATGGCCATCAGAGGGGCCGTAACCTCAGCAGGGGCCTCCAGAACAGCAGGCCTGACGCTCGCGGCCTCACGCCGGGCTTCTGCCGCCCACCACCTCTTATCCCAGACTGCAAGAATCCCATAAATTCCCCCTTTAAAGCTAAGCTAGACTTACGGGGACTCGGGCCAGTGAAACCTGAGCAGGCTCACCTCAGGACGGCGCCGCGGAGACACCCGAGCCAGCCCATAGCTCCAGCCCGGTCCAGGGCCAGAGTGAGCAGCCCAGGGCGGGTCACACATGTGGGGGCAGGTGTATGGTGTGTGTAAATAAACACAGCCAGGGGCCAGCTTTTCCCTCAGACTCTCTTACTGCTAGCAAAATCACACATATTTATTGTAGAAAAAATCAGAAGGTGTACCTAGGCAAATTAGAAAATAGATATCACCTATAAGGCTAGCAGCCAGAAAGCACCATCACAGACATGAGGACATAAACCTCTGCAGTATTTTCTATGCATCTATATACATTTTTTGACAAAAAGCAGGGAAATACATGTATTTTCTTTTCTTTCTTTTTCTTTTAGAGACAGGGTCTCACTCTGTTGCCTAGGCCAGGGTACACTGGCGTGATCATAGTTCACTGCTGTCTTGACCTCCTGGCCTCATGGGATCCTCCACCTCAGCCTCCTGAGTAGCCAGGACAACAGGTGCTTGCCATCACACCCGGCTCATACTTTCTGATACTCTGCTTTTTTCATTTAGTAACATACCATGATACCAAAGTTGATGGAGTGCCCATTATGTGCCAGGTACAGTGCTAGGCTCTTTCCGTGCCAGTATTGCTAAACCCATTTCCAGATGAAGAGTAAGGGACTTGCCCAAGGTCATGCAGCTGTGAAATGGGACAGTCAGGATGCAAGGCCAGCTCTATTAGACTTGGAAGGCACTGCTGACCCAGACACTGCTCCACATCATTAAGCGATTTAGGGCAGCTGCAGCTGATGGCTTCCCCAGTGTACTAGTCAGTTCCGGCTGCTATAACAAAATACCATAGACTAGGTGGCTTAAACAACTGAAATGTATTTTCTCACAATTCCAGAGGCAAGAAGTCCAAGATCAAGTTGCCAGTGAATTTGGTTTCTGGTAAGGGCTCTCTTCCTGGCTTGGAGACAGCAGCCTTCTCACTATGTCCTCACATGGCCTTTCCTCAGTGTGGGCACGGAGAAAGTAGAGTGAGCTCTCTGATGTCTCTCTTTTTTTTTTTTTTTTTTGAGACAGGGTCTTGCTCTGCTGTCATCCAGGCTGGAGTGCAGTGGTGCGATCATAGCACACTGCAGCCTCAAGTTCCTGGACTCAAACAATCCTCCCACTTCAGCCTCCCAAGTAGCTAGGAAGGACTACAGATGTGTACCACCATACTTGGCTAATTTTTTATTTTTTAGAGATGAGGTCTCACTATGTTTCCCAGGCTGGTTTTGAACTCTTGGGCTCAAGCAATCCTTCTGCCTTGGCCTCCCAAAGTGTTGGGAATATAGGCGTGAGCCACTGCCCAGCCTGGTGTCTCTTCTTAAAAGCATACTAGTCCTATCTGATCAGGGCTCCACCCTTATGACCTCATTTAACTTTAATTACTTCCTTAGAGGCCTCATCTCCAAACACAGCCACACTGGGTGTTAGGGTTTCAACATATGAATTTGAGAGGGGGACAGTAATATTCATTCTGTAACACCTAGGATTCACGCCCTCCTTTTCCCTCCCTAGTAGGATCCCATATTTCCTATATCTAGCTATGGAGCTTGAGAGAGAGTATAGCATCACAGATAAGAGTATAGATTTTGGAGCCAGAAGACTAGGTTTGAATCTTGATTTTGCCACTTACTAACTGTGTGACCTTGTCTAAGCCAAGTGACTTAGCTTCTTTGTGCCACAGTTTATGAAGTTAAAATGGGTTAATGTACCATATATTAAGTACCTAGAACAGAAACTGGCATACAGCAGGCACTACATAACTGTTTGCTATGATTGTTGTTCTTATTAATCCCACCCCAGGGTGGGCTGTGGAAGGCCTGAACCAATCAGCATGTTCCCATCTCTCCAGATATAGTGCCACAGTGAATGGCTCAGAGAGAGACATGTAAGGCAAGCTGGCTTAATTAGACAGATTCCTGGCAGTTCTGTTTGATGACTCTGCCCCCCTGCATGTGAATGAGGATGCATGCAGCCCTGGGGGCTAGTAGAAGCCATCCTGTTCCCCTAAGAAAAGTCAACTGGAGGACAAGGTCAATAAAATGAGACCTCTCAGCTAGAAGAACAGCAGAGAAACTAAGTCACAGCACTGGTGGCACCAAGAGCCTCCAGTGAACAGTAAAGCTCTTATAGTGTTTCAAGCCTGTCACAGATGGGATTTTTATTACTTAAACCAAAAGCATCCTTATTAATATTCTTCTACAAAATAATTTTTATCCACTTGACAATCTTTGTTTTTAATTTGAATATTTAGTCCATTTATACCATTTACATTTAATGCAATTACCATATATTTGGGTATTTGGGTTTAAATCTTTTTTTTTTTTTTTTTTTTTTTTTGAGATGCAGTCTCACTCTGTCGCCCAGGCTGGAGTGCAGTCGTGCGATCTTGGCTCACTGCAACCTCCACCTCCTGGGTTCAAGCAATTCTGCCTCAGCCTCCTGAGTAGCTGCGACTACAGGTGTGTGCCACCACACCTGGCTAATTTTTGTATTTTTAGTAGAGATGGGGTTTTACCATATTGGCCAGGCTGGTCTTGAACTCCTGACCTCATGATCCACCTGCCTTGGCCTCCCAAAGTGTTGGGATTACTGGCGTGAGCCACCGCACCCAGCCTAAATCCTTTTTTATTTGAACCTATTCTAGGTTTTCTCTCCTTTCTTACCTTCTTTCAAATTAATCAAGCATTTTTTATTATTCCATTTTATTAGCTTGTTAGATATACTTTCTTCTATTGCAGTCTAATATAGATCAGTACAGTCATGCATCAACAACAGGGATACATTCTGAGAAATGCATTATTAGATGATTTCATTGCTGTGTGAACATCATAGAATGTACTTACACAAACCTAGGTGGTATAGGCTACCATCTATGTGGCATACATGATCACACCTAGGCTATCTGGTATAGCCTATTGCTCCTGTGCTACAAACATGTACAGCATGGTATTGTACTGAATACTGTAGGTGACTGTAACACAATGATTAGCATTTGTGTATCTCTAAACAGAAAAAGTACAGTAAAAATACAGTATCATCATCTTATAGAACCACCATTGTATATGTAGTCTGTCATTGATTGAAACATTGTGCAGTGCATAAATGTACTTTTACTACTTTCTACACAAGGCAAGAACCTCAGGACTCTAATTCCATTCATGTGCCTACACACACACATTCTTTGGGTTACTGTTTTTGTATATTTCAATTCTACATATATTTTTAAATCGTTACCAGATAGTATTGTTTTGTGTAGTCAATATAGTGTTTATTTATATATTTCTCAAAACCAGTGCCATAGTAATAGTTAATATTTAAAAAAATACTTTCCCTTCATCCTGTTTCCATATGAGGTCTTTTTCCTTTTGCATTAAAAATTTTTAAAAATTGTAAGCCTACTGGCAAGGAATTATCTCAACTTTTTCTGGGACCCAAACATTTGTTTGAAAATGTTATTATTTCATTACTTCTGAAGAATATTTCTGCTGGGTATAGAATTCTAAGTTGGCAGTTATCTTCTTTCCATATATTATGGATTTATGCCACTGTGTTAAGAATTTCATAATTTCTATTGGAAAGTCATCTCTAAGTCTTTTGAAGTTATTGCATCTTCCCCCTCAACCCTGACTACTTTTAAGATTTTCTCTCCGTGTTTTGTTTTCAGCAGTTTGACATAACTATGGTGTGCCTAGGTGTGCTTCTCTTTGTATTTATTCTGCTTGAGGTTCACAGGAATTCTTAAATATGTGTCACAACGTCTTCTGTCAGTTTTGGAAAACTACTGGCTATTACCACTTCAAACTTTACTTTGCTCGTCGTCTTTCCCCTGTCTTTCTGGGGCAACAATGTATGTTAGGTCCTTTCACCATGTCCTATATATCTCTTATGCTATTTTTGAATTTTCCATCCTTTTTTAACTTTCATGCATCAGCCTGGATTTTGTCTACTGGCCTATTTTCCAGTTCACTGATCCTCTCTTTAACTGCATCTTTTAAATCTAGCTTTTGCATTCTTAAATTCTGTTACTATATTTTTTCATTTAAAATTTTTCATTTTATTAATTTTTATGGTTTTCAGATCTCTATTAAATTCTCTATTTATCAATTTTCTTGAACATATTAATGTTATGAACAGTTATTTTATTTTTTGAGACAGGGTCCTGCCCTGTCACCCAGGCTGGAGTACTGTGGCATGACCTTGGCTCCCTGCAGCTTCAACTTCCCAGGCTCAAGCAATCCAGCCATTTCAGCCTCCCAAATAGCTGAGATTATAGGCAACACACGCACTATCATGCTCAGCTAATTTGTGTATTTTTTGTAGAGACAGGGTCTCAACAGTTTGCCCAGACTAGTCTTGAACTTCTGGGCTCAAGTGATCCTCCTGCCTTGACCTCCCAAAGTGCTGGGATTGTAGGCATGAGCCACTGCGCCTGGCCAATCACAGTTATTTTCAATCCTGTGTCTGATAACACCAACATCTGGACTACTTGTGTGTTTTTATTGTGTTTTTCTCCCTCTTGGTCCTGTCTCCTGGTATCTCTGGTAATTTTTGACAGAATGCTCAATATTGTGTATGAAATTTGGACAGATGATATCTTCCTCCAGAGAAAATTTTATTTTGCTTCTTAAAGGCAGGTAAAAGAGGAAAATATCATCTTAATTCAGTCTGGGATTTGGCTGTTTTAAAGCTGGGCTTCACTCTTTGTACAAGTTGCTCTGTTTCTGGCTCATCCATTCTTCTAGATGCTGCCTGTCAGGGTCCTCAACTGAAAGTTTGGGATACCAAGCTTCTTCTTTGCTGACCCTGAACTTCACATTTGTCTTCCTAGAACTTGAAGCTGTTAAAAGCTCTGCCTAATTTATCAACTTCTTTTTTCTTTTTCTTCTTCCTCTTCTCAGAGACAGGGTCTCACTCTGTTGCCCAGGCTGGAGTGCAATGGTGCAATCAGAGCACACTGCAGCCCCAAACTCCCAGGCTCAAGGGATCCTCCCACCAGAGCCTCCCAAGTAGCTGGGACTACAGGCCCATACCACCATGGCCAGCTAATTTTTTAATTTTTGTAGATACCATGTCTTGCTATATTGCCCAGGGGGTCTCAAACTACTGGCCTCAAGTGATCTTCCCCCCTCAACTTCCTAAAGTCCTGAGATTACAGGTGTAAACCATCACACCTAGCCCACTTCTCAACTTCATAACTGCCACATCTGTTGGTTTCTTTACCCCTTAGCCTGTGCCATGCATAAATCAGCAAATAACTTGAAGGAAAAGCAATGCTGAATGTTAGGCTTACTTTTTGTTTTTTTTAGATGGAGTCTCGCTCTGTCACCCAAGCTGGAGTGCAGTGGCGCGATCTCGGCTCACAGCAAGCTCCGCCTCCCGGGTTCACACCATCCTCCTGCCTCAGCCTCCTAAGTAGCTGGGACTACAGGTGCCCGCCACCACATCCAGCTAATTTTTTTGTATTTTTAGTAGAGACGGGGTTTCACTGTGTTAGCCAGAATAGTCTCAATCTCCTGACCTCGTGATCCACCCACCTCGGCCTCCCAAAGTGCTGGGACTACAGGTGTGAGCCACCGCGCCTGGCCTGTTAGGCTTACTTTTTGGCACTTCCCCATCTCCCTGGGATCTTGACCCCTCATGATCTGCCTGTCTCAGTAGCCCTTAACTCCAATTTTTGTCTCCACAGCACAGTAAGGCTATAGAAAGATCTGTTGAGCTCTCTGACTCTTGGCCCCACATTACCTACAGATTGGCTAATGCCTGAAAGGAAGAAGAGGCACAGTGTCATATTCACCTTAGTGCATTTCCCTTCTCTCTGGTGTCTTGGTCCCTCAAGTCCTAGCTGTCTCATTAGTTCTTTGATGCCTTTTTTTTTTTTTTTTGAGATGGGGTCTCGCTCTGTCACCCAGGCTGGAGTGCAGTGGCACGATCTCGACTCACAGCAAGCTCTGCCTCCCAGGTTTACACCATTCTCCTGCCTCAGCCTCCCGAGTAGCTGGAACTACAGGCACCCACCACCACGTGCGGCTAATTTTTGCATTTTTAGTAGACATGGGGTTTCACCATGTTGGCCAGGCTGGTCTCAAACTCCTGACCTCAGGTGATCCACCCACCTTGGCCTCCCAAAGTGCTGGGATTACAGGCGTGAGCCCAGCCAGTTCTTTGATGCCTTTAAACAAATGCTTTTTATATTTTATCCAGAGGAAATATTAGTCCGATACAAGCTAATTTGCTATAGCAGATGCAAAAATCCCCTTTTAACAAATAATTTTAATGACTCTATAGATTCCATTCTATGGTTGTACATATTTAATTTTTCCTCATGGTTGGAATTAAAATTATTTGGAGAAGTGAAAAACTCAAAACGACCATTTAATGAATGTCTTTATAGACCTATCTTCATGTCCATCCATATTTATAGCCTTAGGATAAATTCCTAGATGTGGGACTGCAGAGTCAAAGAATATGCAAAATTTTAAGCATTTATAACAGAAAAGAATAGGAGATAGCCTATATATCCAATAATAGAAGAATGAGTAAGTAAATTATTGTGAAGTTATTCAGCAGAAATTTTATGTAGCTATTGAATATGATACAGTGAAACCCTACCATAATGCAATAAGTGTGACCCAAAAGCTTCAATAAATTAAACATGCAGAGCTGTGTTATTATGTAATTTAAAAATGATATTTTTGGTGGTTTTTTTTTCAGTTAATGTGTGGGAAAAAATGTTTACATTGATTAAATATGTAAGAAACAGCCCACTTATTACAAAGTCCACACCACACAAGGAACTGAGAAAGTCTCAAATGATTTATGAGGCAGTCACTTCCTAAACCCATCCATTCCCCCACAGCTCCACAGAAAAGATGAATTCTCACTGCCCCATTTGTAAAGAGGCTGGACAGAGGACAGCAACAACTACCAATGGCCAACCATGTTTTATATGAATTTGCCTCATCACAAGTCATGGGTTTCTCTAGATTTACTCAAGTTTTCAGTCACAAAGGAAAATATTTATAAGAATTAATTATAAGCGCAGGATTCAAAATTCCATATACTAAAAATGACCTGAAGAGTAAAAAGAATGGCAAATCAATACATCAAATGTTAACAATTCATTCATTTAACACATGGATATTGAATGCCTACTATATGCCAGGACCAGGCACCAAAAATGCGGTGTTCCAGTGATGAATGAGAAAGGAAAGTCTCTACTCTTATGCGGTTTACATTCCAATAACAGGACAGTTTCAAAAGTACACAAATAAATATATACTGTAATATCAGGAACTGATTAATGTTATAAATTAAAATGAAAACAAGAAGTTAGAAAGTAAAGAGAGACAGGACAGTCAGAGAAGGTGTCTCCAAGGGGGTGACATTTGAACAGAGGCCTGAGGGGAGGGAGGGCATGCCAGGAAGGGGAAGCAGCAGGGTACAAAGGACCCGAGGCTGGAGTGCGTTCCAGGGCGGGAACACAGGCCAGGTGTGGCTGGAGCCTAGCAAGCAAGGTGACGGAGGCAGGCAGTGAGGCCACAGAGCAGGGTCTGGGGGCTGCGGTGAGGATGCTGGGTGTTATTCCAGTGTGGCAGGAAGCCACTGGAAAGCAGGGCACAACCAGACTCGACAGGTGGGAAACGCTCTCTGAGTTTTGTGTTGAAAAAGACTTTAGAAAGAAAAGCGTAGATGCAGGGAGGTGGTGGCTTTGGGATTAGGGGTGTTAAAAGCTCTATATTCCTTTTTTGGATTAAGGGGACTGTTCTGTTTCCTCATTGGAGTGGTGGCAATGTGACTCTATGCATTTGTCAGATCTCACAGAATTGTTCTCTCACACGCACACACACGCACACACATGCACACACATACTCTTTCACACACATGCACACACACGGACTCTCACCCTCTCACACACTCATACACACTCTCTTATACTCACATATTCGTGCACACACTCACACACACTCTCACACACATATGCATTCTCTGTAAATTTACTGTACATAAATTTTTAAATAATTTTTAAAAATCTCTATATTATATATTTTGAAATATTTCACATTGTTTTAATAATAAAAAGACTGCAAACAAAATCCTTGAGAATAAACCTAAGACAGAATGGGACTAGACGGTGGTCCTCTAACTCAGCACAGACCCTCCCCCAGGGTCTGTGAATAGTTCCCTGTCCCTCCTGGCCCACCTCTAGTAATTTGACGGCAGGGGTCAGGAGGACACTCTCAGATGCTGGCCCAGGGAACTGCTGGGTATCCTTCCCCTTGGTGGCTGATGGATGGAAACAGGTGCATCCACATGAGATAAGGCGGCTGGCAGGAGGGCTGTGCAGGGCTTCCTCCTCCTCAGGGCAGGTCTGCGAGGGCCTCTGCCCTCTCTTCCCTCCTAGTGCCATCTCCCAGGCTCCCCATGTCTCCCAACTCCTACCCTGTGAAAGGCTGCACCAC
This sequence comes from Homo sapiens, assembly GCF_000001405.40. Classification (NCBI taxonomy): domain Eukaryota; kingdom Metazoa; phylum Chordata; class Mammalia; order Primates; family Hominidae; genus Homo; species Homo sapiens. Next base: position 53,615,414 of record NC_000001.11, read on the forward strand.
TGCCCGGTGTGAGTGACCACTAGTGCCTCTCTAGGGCCAAGGGAGACTCCAGGCTGGGGTGCAAAGCAAGGTCCCAAGGAGCTGGAGCTGGTAGAAGAAGGCACTGAGAGTATTTAACATATTTCTGTATCTCCCAAGGGTTGGGAGGGATGGTCTAGTAAGTAAACCCCAACATCCTTTAAACTTCTCAGATTTTACCTTTTATCATACTGAGCTAGTATGATTCCAAAATTCAAAATTTGGGATTTATATGCAACAGGGATTCTATAATTCCATGAATCTCTCATTCTAAGATGATATGATTTTATTTATTTATTTTATTCATTTATTTATTTTATTTTTATTTTTTTTGGAGACAGAGTCTTGCTCTGTTACCCAGGCTGGAGTGGGATGGCACCATCTCGGCTCACTGCAACCTCCACCTCCTGGATTCAAGCAATAACTCATGCCTCAGCCTTCCGAGTAGTTGGGATTACAGGCGTGCGCAACCACACCTGGCTAATTTTTGTATTTTAGTAGAGACAGGGTTTCAACATGTTGCCCAGGCTGGTCTCGAATTCCTGAGCTCAGGCAATCCACCCACCTCGGCCTGCCAAAGTGCTGGGATTACAGGCAAGAGCCACCGCACCCAGCTCTAAGGTAATACAATTTTATAAAGCTAAGCACTTCAATTACTGCTTCTAAGATTCCATGATCCCACAAATCTGTCATGAGGAGATTCTGAAGTTATAAAATTCCATGATTCTCTGATCCCAAGGCTGCCATTTCCTGATATGTCCTAGAGCCCCATATAAGCCCCTGCCCGGCCTAAATTTTCAGGGAGCGACAGCGATGGTGACCAACACTCAAAACAGCCAGGACAGTAATGGGATGACAAGAAATGCAGAGGAAATGGCTGTTGAAATCGCTAAGAAAATGTATCAGAGATAAACATATTCCATCTGCGTTTTCAGTACATACAGGGCCATAGATGCTTATGTCAGGTATATATTTATTACTTCATGCTTGGCATTTTTTAACCTTCTCCTTTAAATCAAGCTAATTAGGTAACTCCTGTGCCCACACTGGTTTTTTCCCCCTCACTGATAAAATGCCTTCAAATGGCTCAAAAATATACAAAGTGTAAGAAGGACTCCATGACAGCAACAGGGTTGGGTGGGGGATGCCCAGCTCTGGACAGGAGAGGGGTGTGTGGGAGACAGGGATGCCAACACCTGACAACCCCTCTCTCCACCTCCCTCCATCTTGGGTCTCCATGAGAAGGACTGGTAGCTCTGAGTGAGATAATGTCACTGTCCTGGGGGACAATGCAGACACCCTGGACACCTCAGCTCTCCAGGAACGGGCACAATCCGGAGATCCAGCCCGGAGCAGACAGGGGCAAGAGTTCCAAGTCCCTCCGAGGCTCGGGATTTCTGGATTCTGTGGAAAAGATTATTTGTTCCACCATGTGGCCAGAAATAGGGAAAGGGCTACTGGGGAAGTCACAGCTTTGGCTTCTGAAAAATCCCACCCCCAACCCCATCTCCACCCCAGACCTGAACCCACCCAGATCCCAGGCTCCCTCCTCCAGGAAGATTTCCCTGACCAGCCCCACCCCATGGGGCTTCATGCAATCCTCTCTGCCCTCCTCCAGAGGGCCTAGAGCCAGCCTAGGCCCTAGGCTGGAGTCAGCCTGCACGCTCAGCCCGCCAGGAACAACAGGCCCTCAGACATCACTGTGGCAGAGGTTCCAAGGTGGGGTTCCACCCCAGGGGACACACTGGAAATCATGGGGGTGGATTTCTGGTGGCTGCCATGACTGGGAGTACTTGTCATTTAGTGGGGAGCAGCCAGGGATGGCCAACTCACCACCAAGAGTGGGTGGGTCAGTCTCACACTAACTTTCTAATATCTTGCCAGATATTCAACTATCTGTAAACAAGCAACCTGATCATCTAAGCCTAGAACATAGCTCCATTTTACATTTAAATACAAGTACTTTCTCATGGTTTTAAGAGACACTAAATTTTCCAGGAATGGAACTGCCATGTAAATTGAGGAAAGACTATGCTGTGTTTTGTTTGGGAGCTGACCAGGGATTGTTCACCATCTCAGAAAATCACATCACCCTCGGCCACGCTACTTGTGACATCTGTGTGTTTGCAGCCATCAAGCTTAGCAATGCCGCACACGGGCAATTGGCCGATGACTTCATCCCATCTTCCAGCACAGTCATGCCTGAGTGTGTGAATGTGGAAATACATTGTTTACAAGTTATTTCCCTTTTAGTTCTTCTTCAATATAAAACCTTATATGAAAAATTTTTAAAAGATGGTGCAGGCCGGCTATGTTATCGGTGCATTTCATTTCAGGAGAGCAAAGGAGGCAGTTCAAAGAAGGCCCTGTTAAGAAAAGGAAGCGCTGCTGAGAACCTCAGCTCCCAGCCATCCTTCTTCAGGTAGGGAAAGCAAGGTCTCCCCCAAGGTCACAGAGTGAGTGGGGGTGAGCAGGACTGTGTCTTGATTTCTTGCATCCCAGGGACTATTTCTGGATTCAGTGACAGAGTCCTGAGCCCAGAGGGACCCACAAGAAGGCAAGCATATGGTTCCTTTGAAAGCTCCCCAGGGAAGGTGAGCAGGCAGTCCAGGCCCTGTGCTGGGGCACAAGGTGGGAGAGTGCAGGGCTGACTCCAGAAAGCCCAGAAAGGGCAGGCCTGGGGAAGGGACCTCGGCAGGGACAGTCTCCCCACTGGCCGATCAGCAGAGAGGGTTTGAGAACCTGAGACGGAGCTCACCTCCCCAACCCTTGCCCATCCCAAAACTTCCCCTTCTCCCGCTGTAAGTGATCAGCTGCCAGCTTGCAGAACAAATGCAGAAATGAATACACCAGGTGAGAACTGGGCTAGGCCTTGGATGCCACTCAAGCCTCTGCTGCCAGGAAAGACTGCTAGAAAGATGAGAGATAAGAAGCCCTTTCTCTAAGATGCAGGCCCCTAGGGTGGGTCACCAGGCCACAGTCCCAGCTCTGGCCTTTACAACATTATTAGTTGAAACCCACTGGTTTCTCTCAAGAGACAGGAGGTGGAAACTAATGAACATTTCCATGAAGCAGCACCTAGCAGTGTTTTCATCCAATTAGGAGCAGGCCTCTGTGAGGGGCAGGGAGGCTGCAGACTTGCCCCTGGCCCTGCCTGTAGCTGTGCACAGGGCTGCACCAGCCCACACAGGACCACATTGCCCTGACTTCTGAGGATGCAAAGGGGGGTTTCTAGGAAAGTCGAGGGGCTGATGAAGGGCAGCCCACTCACAGATACTGCTGCTGCTGCTGCCAACATTGCCAAGGAGAAAGCCTGTCCATGAGACCATACTTTACCTCCATCAGGAAGCAGCAGGTGCTCATGCAAGTAGGGCTCCCTATTCAGGCCTGACCCTCTTTTTCACACTTGAGGTCAAGAATCCAGGGAAAGGACCCCCAGGCAGGAAGCAGAGCCCAGAGTTCTAGTCCTACCCTGGCTCTTAACTCACTTTCTGTCTTAGGCAGCAACCAGACCCTAGGCTTCAGTTCCCTTTTCTGTAAAACAAACACAGTAGACTGGAGATGCCTCTAAATGTTCTGTCGTCTTCTAATCCCAGACAGCCACTGTGAATCCCCTGTCAAAAGGCTTCATGATCCAGAGGCGGGGCTGGTCTTGGACCAGACCTCTGCCTCTCCCTCCTCTGGCCCCAGCATTTGGACTCTTCATGGTGGACAGGCCTGCCTGGTCTGGCCTGGTTGCCGCCTCCCAAGACCCTTTCTGGCATGGGCCAAAGAGAACACCCATCCACCCACCCTGAGCTGGGCACTGGGGCCCAGAGATGAGGCAGATACTGCTGCTGCCCTCAGGAGCCCTCAGCCTGGTGACAACATGGACCAGAACTGCAATGCCCTAAGGATGAGGTGCACACCTGCCTTCCCTTATCCTTCTTTAGTGGGGCCGCTGCTTCTAGGAAGGCTTCCCTGACCCTGCCACAGGGTTGGCCATTCCCCACTACAGCCCTTACCATGGGATGTGAGTGTTGTGTCTGCACCTAAGGGCCAGAACACTGTGCTAAACATTTCATCTAAGCCTCTCAACAGTCTTGCTAGATACATCAATCAGCCCATTTTACAGATGAGGAAACCAAGGCCAGGATGTTGAAATGACTTCTCCGGAATAACACATCTAGAAGGAGACATACTTGGGGTTCATCCCCAGGGCTGGTGATTCCAGACTACAGTCCTCAGCCCAGGGCTCCAGTGATCACCCTATACTCAACCCGCCAGGCGGCCCACAGGCCAGGAGAAGCCATTCCTATGGGAACTGTACACACCTTGAGAAGCATCCCTCAGCCATTCCACTGTAAGGTGGCAGGACTAAAACAGATCTAAAAGATAATCTTGTTTTACATAAGAGGGAGACTGAGGCCCAGTGAGCGTGAAGGGCTGTCCAAGGTGACACTGGGGCCAGTGGCCAAGTCAGGACCAGAACCCAGTCCTCCAGAGTTCCCATCAGGCAGTCATTGCAGAGCGCCTAGCTGCTGCCTCCTAAAGGTGGCCAGAGAGGATGATGCTCTCCTCTCCTTGGCATCCTGGGAGGTACGGGACATTTACAGGAACAACTTGGTTTATGAGTGTGTCTCAAAGGTTCTCTGGTTAGTTCTGCAAGGCTGAGATCAGCATTAATCCTGCTGGAGAGATGAGGACACTGAGTTTGGGCAGTGATGACAGTCATACCAGGATTCGATGCAGAGTTGTCTGGGGCAAAGCTCTCCTAGGCTGCTGGGCTCTGTCCAGCACTTCACGTTTACACAGATGACCTCATTAGTCCTCACTGGTTAGGGCTGACCTGTACTTCTGACGCCAGCTCAGTGCCCCAGCATCTTGTCTTCAGACCAGCGCTGACATCGCAGTGTACCACCTTGATGCTCCATCTGGTCAGAGGACAGGGTGAACAGAAAATGGGCGGGGGGGCCACCTGGGCTCAGGGCACAACTTCCCCAAAGCTTGCCTGCTTTTCTTCTCACTGCCAGTTTATGCCGGCAGAGCTGGGGCAGCTCACTGCCAAGCACAGGGACCCCGTCGGCGGCTTGGCCATGAATGAGTACAGTGTTTGGTACTAGTCAACAAGATGGATGTTGTTTCGTTTCGGCTCCACGCACCGTAAACATTCTGTGGCAGACGCAGCTCCAGGTGGCTCACTGGCTCTCATCCGCAGCTGGGCCGGCCTGCAAAGGCCCATTAACATGGACATAAACAAGGAGGGCTGGGGGTGGAAGGCGGGAGACTGCAGGGCCTGTCCCACTTTCAGGGAGAAGAACACAAAAGAGCAGAAATCCCGGAGCCAGGCTGGAGGTGGAGGCAGCCGATGGAGGACGAACAGGACCCAGCCTGGTGCCTGTTCTAGCTCTAATGCTGATCCACTAAGCGACCTTCAGCAAGCCTCACACCGTATCCAGATCTCAGTTTCCTCATCTGAGAAAGAGAAATGGGCTCCACTGTCAGGCTACAATAAGGCCCATAGAAATGGTTTATCAAGAAGCTGACTGGGCCAGTAGCTGCATGAGGACAAGGACTCCATCTGATCCATTTTGGCCCTGGGGATAGGAACATAGGCTTTAGAGACAGCCAGCCTGGTCTGGAATCTGAACTTTGCCCCTCACCTGCCAGTGTGGTCTTGGCCAGGTAACCTAACCTCTCTGTGCCTCCATTCCCTTATCTGTCAAATGCAGATCATCATACTAGTTGCAGGGGTTTATTGTGAGGATCAAGTGAGATAATGCCCCATGGGACACTTAGCTCAGGGCCTGGCACACAGTCCATAAAGGGTCACTCTCATTCTGTATCCCCCCCAAGTCTCCCCCAGCCCAGCCAGGAGCAGGCCAGCCAAGGCCAGGGATGGCCAGGTCTTGTGGGGCTCTCCCTCCTGGTCTAAGAGGATCTTTGGATCCCACACCAAGTACTCAGCCTGCCTGGCGCCTATGTGGGCCTCACAGCCCGGCCCCAGACACCAAGCCCCAGGCCCGTGTGGGAGGTGGGCCAACTTGATGAACATCTATTCTCCAAGTGCCAGTTGGCTAAAAATCAATGTGTCAAATGACCAATTCGTCAAAAGCCAATTAGCCACAAATTACTTCGCCAAATGGCTACATTCCCAAAATTTCCAAATAAACAGTTACCCAAAACTTGTTTATTTTAACCATTTATAAAGATGACAACAATTTATGTTAGAAGAGATGGTTTTAGTTTTAGTAATACGTTTTCATTTTGTGTTCATAGCAGCATTTAAAAAATATATTAAAATGGTCAAAATCAAGGATTATGGGTGAGTTTCTTCTTATTTCGTATTTGCTGTTCAGTTTATTTCATTTGATTTGGTCATCAGACATCAATGTTTCATACAGAAAAATTTTTTTTTTTTGAGACGGAGTCTCACTCTCGCCAGGTTGGAGTGCAGTGGTGCAATCTCCGCTCACTGCAATCTCTGCCTCCTGGGTTCAGGTGATTCTCCTGCCTCAGCTTCCCGAGTGGCTGGGACTACAGGCCCATGCCATCTGTATTTTTTAGTAGAGATGGGGTTTCACCAGGTTGGCCAGGATGGTCTCGACCTCTTGATCTGCCCATCTCAGCCTCCCAAAGTGCTGGGATTACAGACGTGCCACTGCGTCCGGCCTCATACAGGAAATCTTAAAGTTACACTGTATAGAAGGTTGAATGGTGGCCCCTTGAAAGATATTCCGGGCACAGTGGCTCACGCCTGTAATCCCAGCACTTTGGGAGGCCGAGGTGGGTGGATCACTAGAGGTCAGGAGTTCGAGACCAGCCTGGCCAACATGGTGAAACCCTGTCTCTACTAAAAATACAAATACTAGCTGGGTGTGGTGGTGTGCGCCTGTAATCCCAGCTACTCGGGAGACTGAGGAAGGAGAATCATTTGAACCTGGGAGGCGAAGGTTGCAGTGAGCCGAGATCGCACCACTGCAACTCTACCTGGACAACAGAGCTAGACTATGTCTCAAAAAAAAAAAAAAAAAAAAAAAGAAGAAGAAGAAGAAGAAGATATTCCATGTCAAATCTCCAGAATTGGTGAATGTTATCTTATTTGGAAAAAGGGTATTGGCAGATGCAATGAAGTTAAGGATTTTAAGATGAGATCACCCTGGACTATCCCAGTGGGCCCTAAATCCAAACAGAAGCATCCTTATGAGAGACATACACAGGAGAGACAGGCAGACAGACAGGGAAGAGGCGACATGGCCAGGAGACGGATGCTGGTCTGCCTCAAGTCAGGAAATGCCAACAGCCACCAGAGGCCCAAAGAGGCAAAGATTCTCCCCCGGAGCCTCCAGAGGGAGCAAGGCCCTGCCGACACCTTGATTTTGGACTTCTGGCCTCCAGAACTATAAGAGGATAAATATCTGTTGTTTTAAATTTTCTGTTGTTTAAAATTTGTGGGTAATTTGTCGCAGTAGCCTCAGGAAATACATGCTTTTTAAAAAAATTATTCTTTGCCATTTTCTGTTTTACCAATTCTTATCTTTTTTTAAAGCATTCTTTTGCTAATGTCTTAAGAAATGTATTAACCTCAGTTTGTTTCTAGTAATTAACACATGACTGTGATATGGTTACTTATGCTGCTTCTTAGTTTATTACTTTAGCCATTTTTTAGGACTTTTTATGATTTACAACCAACTTTCAAAATTCTTTCTTTACAATTTCATATTAATGGTTAATGTGTATCGAATCTGATATCTGCTTTTTAAAAATAAATCAAATTCAGCAATATATATTAATAGAAAAGATAACAAACACATCATGACCAAGTGAGGTTTAGAGAGTATAAGGTTCTAAATTGAGAAACATAATTCACTTAATCAAAAGAATAAAGAAGAGCCATATGATCAGCTCCATAGACACAGAAAAAGTAGTACCCACTGATGATTAAAATTCTCAGCATACTAGAAACAGAAAAGAATTTCCTCAAAATAATAAAGTATATCAATGATAAACTATAGCTAACATCATGCTTAATGGTGAAAGGCTGAATGTTTCCCCCCAAGACTGGGAACAAAGCAAGGATGTCCGCACTCACTACTTCTATTTAACATTATTATTAGATGTCTTAGCTAGTGCAGTTCAGTAAGAAAGGAAAAAAGCATGAAGATGGAAAAAGAAGCATAACTCTTTAACCTCAGATAACATGATTGTTTACATAAAAAGTCCTATGGAATCTCTAAAAACAAAAGAAAGAATAAATTAGACACGTTGCAAGATATAATAAAACATAATAAATATTGCAAACATAATAAAATGAATTTTAATTCTCTATACTAGAGGAAATAACAGGAAGATGGGATTTGAAAGCAATACCACATATAATAGCATCAGAAAACACAAAATGCTTAGAAATAAAGTTACAAAAGCTATTCATATATAAGACCTTTCAATGAAAAATAGACCTTTCACTGCTACTGAGAGAAAGCAAAGAAAACCTTAATAAATGAGGAGAGATACTATGTTCATGGATGAAGGATTAAATATTAAGATGTCAATTCTATCCAGATTGACCTGTAAATTTAATGCCATCTCAACCAAGACTCCAGTAGGCTTTTTGGTAAAATTTGACAAGTTGATTCCAAAATACATATGTGAAAATATTAGAGATCTAGAATAGCCAAAACAATATTGAAAATTAAGAACAAAGTTGGAGAACTCACACTATCTGATTTCAAGACTTTCTACAAATCTACAGTAATCAAGACAGGGTGGCACTGGCATAAGAATAGACATAGATCAACAGAACAAACAAAGTCTACAATTAAATCCACATTTACATGGTCATTTGATTTTTTACAAGGGTGCCAAGGCAAACCAATGAGAGAAAGAAATCTTTTCAACAAATGATGCTAGAAAAACTGGATAACTGTATGGAAAAGATGACCTTGACTCCTATCTCACACCACACATGAAAATTAATTTATAATGCATCATCAACCTAAACTTAGAACTAAAACCATAAAACTTCCAGAAAAGAGCACACTTTGGGACAGGCAAAGGCTTCTTAGAACACACAAAAAGCAGGAAACATTTTAAGAGTTGATAAATTGGACTAAATTAAAATTTTAAATCTCTTTTTTTTTTTTTTAAAGAGACGGAGTCTCCTTCTATCACCCAGGCTGGAGTGCAGTGGCGCAATCCTAGCTCACTGCAGCCTTGAACTCCTGGGCTCAAGTGATCCTCCTGCCTCAGCCTCCTGAGAAGCTAGAACTACAGGCATGTACCACCATGCCCAGCTAAAATTTAAAATCTCTGTTCTCTAAAAAGCACCATTTAGAAAGTGAAAAGGCAAGGCAGAGAATGGGGAAAATATTCCATATATATACATATATATCTCCAACAAGGCTTGTATCCAGAATATATAAATAACTCATAACTTAATAATAAAATGATAAACAACCCAATTTAAAAATGGACAAAAGACTTGAACAGACACTTCTCAACAGAAGACACACACATGAGAAGGTGCAAAGATGCTCTGGAGAAATTAAAATAAAACCAGGGGGCAATAGCAATCCTAGTCTGTTTGAATTTTTGTAACTGGACACCCACTGAAGGGCTGATGACTGCTCTATCATGAAGGACTGCATTCTTCACAGCCAGTCCAAAGAGAAAACAAATGCAAGTCCAGCTTCTGGCCGCTCCAGGCCTGGATGACAAACCTGGCTTCATTAGTATTGACCTCCTTTTCTTGCTTCTGAGCAGGAAGGAGTCAGAAAAAATTCCCTGAGGAGATGACTCTTGAGTATGAGTATGAGGAGATGACCCTGAAAGAGTATTTGCCAGGAAGATGGGGCAAGAACATCAAAAGTGCAAGGCCAGCATCTGGCCAGAGGCATGCAACAGCTGGATTTATTTGGGGGCTTTGAGTATTGCGGATCTGGGACCAGGAAGCCCAGGAAGTAAGAAGTCAGGGGCTGGCACAGATGGGGCCTGAGTGACACATCAGTAACCTTGGACTTCATCTTCTACTGTGATGAAGTCATAGATTCCATAGCTCGGCCTTGACACAACTAAATCCCAATAAGCAAACCATTTTCATTCATTAATTCATTCAAGTAGTCATTCAAAAAACATTGATTGCACATCTCCTGTTGACATTCTTGTCTCCCCATCTTAGATGGCATCCCCCAGGCCCAACCCTGGCTCTTTCTCTGGGATATACAGCCACCATGGAGTGAGCTCCTATTGTGTCTGGAGCCAGCCCTGATGCTTTGTAAGGAAAATCTTAATCCTCACATTTTCTCCATTTTGCAGATGAGAAAAGGAGAGACTCAGAGAAGAAACTGTTTCAAACCCATACTTAATTCCCAATCCCCCCTTCAGGTCAATCCATCCGTCTACACAGAAACAGTGCCCAAGTATAGGCTGAGGACCAGGCCCTGCAGCCAGCACAGGGGCGCAGGTGGCCATAACGCTGCACAGAGAAGCTCATGCCAACCTGGCAGTAGCTGTCTCTCCTATCAGAGGTGACCTGCCTTCTCCACAGAGGTCTGGGTTGGCCCCAGATGCCAGGGCTAAGTGATCTTGGAGCTGTTGGGAAGGCACCCACTTGCTCTCTAGGGCTCACGACAATGGGTACACTATCCCTTTGCTTCCTGGCAGAACCACCAGGCCCGGAGTGAGGGCCGCTCTTAGGAATGGCAAACGAGGGCAGGGCATGGTTCCAAGGCTCTAGCTTCCTCTGCTACAAGCCCACACCTCTCTTTGGCATGACCAGAACCTGGCCAAATAGTGAAGTTCCCATTACTGCAGCTAGTGGGGTTGCTAATCCAGCTAGAGTCACATAAATAAACAGCAGACACAACCCATAACTTCCCCAGGGGACAGCCTCCCTCCACCACACCCCTCCCTCCGGTCTTGCCAAGTCTGTCCTCGAGAGCCAGCAGCCTCAGCCTTTGCACACTGCCACCTCATCTCAGGAACCCCCTTCTGCTCCAAACCCTCTTCTGTGGCTCCTGTTCCCAGGGCTGCTACTCCCCAGCCTGCATCCAGGGGACCCTGAGCTGGCCGTGGAGGCCCTCCCTGACCTGAGAAGTCTCACAATCATACCATCCTGCTCTACCATCTTTATAGCACTCATCATTATTTAAAAGCATCTTGCTTATCTGTTGACATCTTTGTTTTCTGCTCGCTGAGGGCAGGGGCTTGGTCTATTTTGATGACAACCAAGATCTGAGAACACAGCCTGGCTCAGAACAGAAATTCACCAAGTATCTGCTACATGCATGAATCCTGTGAGGCCCAGCTTCAGTGATGCCCTCAGTGCAACTTTCCTACACATCCTTGCTCTGCTCCTCCGAGGTGCAGACCCCAGGGTCCACTCCCGCATCATCTGGCTCCCGTGCCTGCAGACAGAGCTGTGGCTGACATGCCCCTGCATCCTGCATCCAACCAACAACCAGCCCACCATGGGGGATTCATTCATTTTCGCTGAATAAATAAATGCATGCAATTCAGCTTCCCCACCTGTGATAAATGTGGAAGGGCTTTGTAAACTGTAGAGCACTGTGAACACACATTCTCCAGGGCCTGACGTGCCGAGGCCCTTACCACACGTCTGCTGAACTGAATCCTGGGCAGTTTCTGCCTAGGCCCTCGTTCCGGGTCCCACAACCACAGCCACACTGAGAACTATACAGCCCCAGTTAGCATGAATCTCGAACAAGGCATTACCTGAATGGCCTGGGAGGCAGAGGTTTACAAAACCAAAGAGCTGAACGCTAGGTAGTCCTGGGAGGGGGAGGTGTGGGCGGCCTGCACATGTGAGCCACAGATGGTCAGCTGGCCGATCGGGAGGGTTCTATTTCAGTGACAATTCATTTTCAGTAATTATCCCCCTCTCCTTTAAAGTCACCTAAGGCAGTCCTCGTGGGCACCGGACCGCTTCCCTGAGCGAACTTTCAAGTTATCTGCGCTTGTGGAGATGCGTGGAATTCAAAGCAGATGTGCCAAATTGAACCTCCCGCTTGCTGCTCCAGCTCCGATTTTTTTCCCCCAGCCCACTGTAAATGTTTTTAAAATGGGACCCCAGTACTAGACATGTCAAACAGCTGAACTCAAGGTAGAGGGGGCTGCCAGAAGGGAAGACGAATGAAATTTAAAATCCCTTTCGACAGATTAACTAGACGCACTTTGAAGCCATAAATCATGCAGACAGTCTAGAAGAAGCTAATAATGGATTTCGGTTTTGTTCGTATTTATTATCTTAAAGAGATAGCAGAATGCAGGGCCAATGTGCCTGGCTGGGGAGTCCACTGGGGACCTCCTAAAGCTGAGTATCAACCAGAGAGGAGGTGGAGGGGAGGAGGGACATAAGCACTAGCATTATGTACCTGTTGTGTGCCAGGCACTGGGCTTGGCATGACTTGTTTTAAGCCACAATGCCAACCATGTGAAGAAGACACTATTGTCCCCATTTTATGGATGAGGACCCCAAGATGCTCCAAGATAGCTTGCTCCAGGCTATGTGGCCTGTGTCTCTTGACTCTAAAGCCCTTGCTCTTTCTGCCCAATAGAATTTAGGTGAAAAGGGAGGACCCCGTCTGAGAGCACACTGAACCTGGGGGAGAGGGAGAGACAGCAAGGGTATGAGCACTCCAGCCCTGAGGGGCCAGTCCCCCAAGTGACCCATGCACTTCTCCAGAGCCAGGCCTTTAGCCTTGCTGTGCCCTTGCTGTGCCTTGCTGTGCCTTGCTGTACCTGGGGTGCCTTTAGTGGTCATTTCCTGAGCTTGTGTCTATGCTAGGACCTGGCCTGGGTCTCTGATCTCAATAGTGTGCCCCAGATGACAGCATTTTAGTGTTTGTCTTATTTGTCACTAGAGAGCTAGCCTCAATAGATTTGACCTTATCCACCTCTGTATTCTCCCATGGCCACACAGTAGATGCTCAACGTCCCAGCACCCTGAACACCAGCATCACATCTACCAAGGGCAGGAGAGCCATGGGAGGGACTGTACTGGCTCACTCGACACGCTTTTGAATGCCCACCTTGTACAGCACTGGGGACAGAACTGTGCACCAGAGTGCGTTCGCCAGGCTTACACCTGAGTACCAGTCACTTTATCCACGAATTTAACACCATCAGCCCTAGGCGGGAGAGACAATTATTCCCACCTAAGGGAGAGGAACCTAACTCTCAGAAGCCGAAGCCACTTGGTCAAGATCAAGCGGGATGTGCACCCACCCACAGGCACCCCCTCCACCGTCAAAGCCCCACCCCACTCATCACCTAGCAGGTCTAAGCTCAGTCTCCTGGGTGCTGATCATCAGACTCAAATGTGATACAAAACCACAGGGTGGAGACGGGATGGATTTAACAACCAAAGGCTACAATATAGGGACGGGAAACAGCACCCTGAGAGGTCAGAAGGGGTGGCCATCGGGGAAGGCTCCTGGGCACAGGACAGAATCCTGGCTCGTCTGTTTACAATTCTCCAAGACTTCCATCCACAGCAGTGGGTCCCAAACTGTCTGGCACATCAGAACGACCTGGGGAACTTGAAAAATAAATCTGGGCTCTGCTCAGGTAGATCAAATCGAATCTCACCTCTCTGATCTGATCTCCCAGACTGCATGCACATGTACACACATGGGGACATGTACACACACAGGATGTATCCACACACAGGGACACACACACACACCACACAGTCATACAGCCCAGGCTCTCCAGCTATCTACCCTTACCGTGATGTGCCAAGGATGCAACCCCGCCCCTACTCTGTGCTTTATGATGTTCTCCCTCCTGAGATGCCTTTCTACCCACTTTAACCTGGGGACTCACTCCTACCCATCCCTCAAGGCCCAGCTCAAATGCTTCCTCCCTGAAGCCCTCCCCAATCCCCTCTGTGCTTCACAGCCCATGAGCCAGCCCACATGGCAGTTGCTATCACTCTGTAGCATCATGCGGCACAGATGGCCCCAGCTGTTCCTACCCCACACTGTTAATTCTTCTAGTCTCGCTGCCTGACAGCACCTGGCTCTTAATGGTGCCCTAGAAATGAACAGCATGAGATGGGCTTCGAGAACAGGACTTGATCCAAAGATAAGGAGGGCCAAGGGCATGGCTGGGCATCTTGTTCCACTCTTCCCCAGCGTGCCACCACCACACCGGCCTCCTCCCACATCTTAGACACAGTGAGCTTGCTCCTCCTTCTGTCCCCTCTGCCCATGGGCCTGGACAGTTGCAGTGGCTGCTTCTTGTCATCAGGATCACCTTCCTGCAAGAGGCCTGACCTTCCTCAAACCCCGTCATTCTCTTTTTCTTCTCAGCACACACACTGCCTACTACATATTATTATATTTGCTCATTATCTGTCTGTCCCACTTGAATACAAGCTCCACAAGCCCAGAGAGCCTTCTTGACCATTCCTGCACACATGCAGGCCTTGAGAAGGCCACCCTAGGCCATTCAATATGGAAATGCCTTGGATTTTCCTTTCTGAGAGATATGTATGGTTGACTGTGCTCGTTCATTCGTGAATTGGGGGTGAATCTTCAAAAACTAAAAAAGAATTCCATAATTGCATCTCCCAGACTGCTCAGATTTTGATATATTCATTTTTTCACTACAACTTTCTATGTTATTGTGTGTGTATGCATACACATACATACAGATATTTAGCATCTGACTACATTGACATTTATTATTTGTTACACTAAATATCAAATCATGAGTGTTTTCCTTTGTCACTAGGGGTTCTTCAAAAGCCATCTTTAGAACGGCTGCATAATATTCCATCATGATATCACACCATGATTTATTTAGCAATTCCCTGTTGTTAGACATTGAGGTTGTTTCCAATTTTTTTGCCATTATAAATAATGCTGTGATGGGTGCTCTTGCATATAAATCACTGTCTGTCTCTCCAAATGCTTCCTTAGAAAAACTTCCAAGGGGAGGAATTCCTGGGCCAAAAGGGCTGAATATTTTCCAGGCTCATGGAACACACTGTCAAACTGCCCTCCAGAAAGATCAGCCCAATTTATACTCCCACCAGTGACTGTGAGGGGACCAATTTCTTTCTTTTTTTTTTTTTTCTTTGACAGAGTCTCACTCTGTTGCCCAGGCTGGAGTGCAATGGCACAATCTTGGCTCACTGCAACCTCTGCCTCCCGGGTTCAAGCAATTCTCCTGCCTCAGCCTCCCAAGTAGCTGGGATTACAGGTGTGTGCCACCATGGCTCGCTAATTTTTTGTATTTTTAGTAGAGATGGGGTTTCACCATGTTGGCCAGCCTGGTCTCGAACTCCAGACCTCAGGCAATCCACCCGCCTCGGCCTCCCAAAGTGCTGGGATTACAGGCATGAGCCATCGTGCCCAGCCAGAGGGAGCCAATTTCATTGCACACATCAACAAAGAGCAATAGGATTTCCTTTCTCTCTGCTAATGTGCAAGACTGAAATGATAGTTCATTTTTTTATTTGAGCTTTATAGCTAGTGGGGGCGAATATTTGAAAATACTTTTTGGCTATCTGTATTTCTTCCTCTGCCAAGTGTCTGTTCCTGTCCTTTATGCATTTTCTCTCATCATTTTGTGAGAGCTTTTTAATGTAGTAAGGATATCAGGTTTGCTCTTTGTAGCAAATACTCTTCCCAATTTTTTATTGCCTTTTATTGCTGTTTATAACTTTTTCCCCATAAAAATGTTTTAACTTTTCAAGTAGTGTAATCTAACGGGTTTTTTTAGTTGCAATTACTTTTGTGATTTATGTAAAGCTAGTCCTTTTCCAACCAGACAACAGATAAATATTTCCCTACAATACCTTCTAATTTTTTGTGGGTGGTTTCATTTTTCACACTTAACTCCTGAATCCATCTGGAATATATTTTGCAAGATAATGTAGGTGAGGATTTAACTTTATTTTCCCCCAAATAGTTAACCAATTGCCCCCATCTGTGTTATTTTAAGATCCCTATGGCAGGGTTTCCACCATCTCTGAGCAACACCAGAGAGTTATAATAATCATAAATATCACATGTATGTACTTACACTCTACAAAACATTATTCAGTCATCACATTTTTGTTGTGTACCTGCTATGTGCCAGAGACTATTCTAGGTGCTGGGATACAGCAGTGAATAAAACAGATAATAATCTCTGCTTTCATGGCATTCATCTTCTAACAGGGGACATAAACAAAAGAAATAAGTAAATTATACAGAATGTTAGTGGTATACAGGAAAATAAAACAGGAAGGGGCATATGAAATATCTGAAGGAAGGATGCACTTTTATATGGGGTGTTCAGGGAAGGCCTCACTGAGAAGTGTAACGGGTAATGACCTGAAGCAGGTGAGGGATTGAGTCATATGAGTGTCTGGGTCTCGGGGGAGGGCATTTCAGGCAGAGGGAACAGCCAGTGCCAAGGCCCTGAGGGAGCAGCAGACCTTACTAATGGCCAGGATCAGCAAGAAGCCAGTGGGCTGGTGTGGAGCAAGCCATAGAGCAAGAAAAAAAGGAGAGACAGGGGAATAAAAGAGAGGTGTGTGAATGAGTGTGAGGGATGTGTGAATGAGTGTGACTAAGGGGCGTGTGAATGAGTGTGACTGAGACCGGGGGAGTAAGAGAGAGGTGTGTGAATGAGTGTGCGGGATGTGTGAATGAGTGTGACTGAGGGGTGTGTGAATGAATGTGACTGAGGGGTGTGTGAATGAGTGTGACTGAGGGGTGTGTGACTGTGAGGGGCATGTGACTGAGGGGTATGTGAATGAGTGACTGAGGGGGCAAGTGAATGACTGAAGGGCGTGTGACTGAGTGTGACTGAGGGGTATGTGTATGAGTGTGACTGAGGGGCATGTGAATGAGTGTGACTGAGGAGAAGGGAGAGTAAGGGAGAGGTGTGTGAATGAGTGTGACAGACTGGGGGTGTAACAGATGGGTGTGTGAATGGGACTGAGGGGTGTGTGAGTGTGACTGAGGGGTGTTTGAGTGTGACTGAGGGGCATGTGGATGAATATGACTGAGGGGTGTAATGAGTGTGACTGGGGCATGTGAATGGGTGTGACTGAGGGGCATGTGAATGAGTGTGACTGAGGGGTGTAATGTGTGTGACGGGCATGTGAATGTGACTGAGGGACATGTGAATGAGTGTGACTGAGGGGCATGTGAATGAGTGTGACTGAGGGACATGTGAATGAGTGTGACGGAGGGGCATGTGAATGAGTGTGATTGAGGGGCATGTGAATGAGACTGAGGGGTGTGTGAATGAGTGTGAATGAGACTGAGGGGTGTGAATGAGTGTGACTGAGGGGCATGTATATGTGTGACCGAGGGGCGTGTGTATGAGTGTGACTGAGGGATGTGTGAATGAGTGTGACTGAGGAGAAAGGGGGAGTGAGAGAGGTGTATGAATGAGTGTGACTAAGGGGCGTGTATGTATGTGACCGAGAGGCATGTGTATGAGTGTGACTGAGGGGCGTGTGAATGAATGTGAATGAGAGGTGTGAATGAGTGTGACTGAGGGGCATGTGAATGTGACTGAGGGGCGTGTATATGTGTGACCGAGGGGTGTGTGAATGAGTGTGACTGAGGGGTGTGAATGAGTGTGACCGAGGGGCATGTGTATGAGTGTGACCGAGGGGCGTGTGTATGAGTGTGGCTGAGGGGCGTGTGAATGAGTGTGACTGAGGGGTGTGTGAGTGTGACTGAGGGGCATGTATATGTGTGACTGAGGGGCGTGTGTATGAGTGTGACCGAGGGGCATGTGAATGTGACTGTGAGGTGTGAATGTGACTGAGGAGTGTGAATGAGTGTGACTGGAGGGGCGTGTGAAGGGGCGTGTGAATATGTGACTGAGGGGTGTGAATGAGTGTGGCTGAGGGGCGTGTGAATGAGTGTGACTGGGGGGCGTGTGAATGGCTGAGGGGCGTGTGAATGGCTGAGGGGCATGTGAATGAGTGTGACTGAGGGGCTTGTGAATGAGTGTGACTGAGGGGTGTGTGTATGAGTGTGACTGAGGGGTGTGAATGAGTGTGACTGAGGGGTGTGAATGAGTGGCTGAGGGGTGTGTGAATGAGTGTGGCTGAGGGGTGTGAATGAGTGTGACTGAAGTGCGTGTGAATGTGTGTGACGGGGGACCACAGAGGGACTCGGTCCTTGTGTGGCTCTTCCTTTACCTCCATGTCTGGAAGAAATTAGGACTTCGTGAGTTTTAGGCAGAAAAGCAACATTTCTTGTGTCTCAACACTGCGTGTGTCAATCCTAGCACTACTGACATTTGGGGCTGGATAATTCTTTGTTCTTGGGGGCTGTCTTATGCATTGCAGGATGGTTAGTAACATCCACATGCATGCGTGCACACACCCAGGTGTGAGAATCAAAAATGTCTCGGCGTGGGGGGGATAGGGGGAGAAATTGCCCCAGCTGAGAACCACTTTAACAGGATCACTTTGGCCACTGTGCCAATGGGTGCAATGGCAGAGAGACCAGTTATGAGATCACGAATCCACCAGTGAACAGAGAATCATGGCGGCTTCAGCCAAGAGTGGGTGAAGTAGCTGGATTCCAGATCCACTGTGAGTGCAGAGGCATCGGGATTTATCAACAAATCAGTTATCAGGGAGTAAGAGAGAAAGGCCAAGGATGGCGCCAAAGTTTTCATCCTGAAGTCTTATAAAGATGGAGTTGCCGTTTCCTGGGATGGAGACGATGGGAGAAGGAACGGGTTTGGGGAGGACATCAGGAGCCGGATGCTGGTCACAAAAGTTTTAGACATGTTTAGACACACAAATGGAAATGCTGAACAGTGTCTACCAGCAGATCTGCAGTTTAGGAGCCAGCTCAGGTCTGGAGATAACTTTGGATCCATAGCAAGTAGACAGTGTTTGAAATGCAGTAATACAGATGAGACCACAAAGGAATGAATATAAAAAGAAAAGAAAGGGTCCAAGGGCTAAACCCTGAGCTCGCCAATGTTTAGAAGTCAGGGAGTTGAGGAAGAGTAGCCAGAGGGGAAGGAAACCAGGCATGAGTGGCGTCCTGAAGCTGTGAGAAGGAAGCGTTTCCAGGCGTGTAGAACGCTCAGCTGTGTCAAGGCTGCTTACAAGACAGACAAAATGAGGCCTGAGAATTGCCCAATGTGAGGGTGGAGCGAGGAGGGCCTCACTAGAGTTCATTTGTGAGGGAATGCGGGGAGAGAAACGAGACATTGGGCATAGACAACAATGGGCTCTGGACTCTTCTAGCACCTGTGACATCCTCTCGGCCCCACCGCTATTCCAGCCACTGCAGCTGCGGCCAATTGAAGGCAGCTTCCACAGTAGCAAGCACCTGCGAGGCCACCTCACACGTCCAACCCCAGAGTGGGTGGGGGTTAATGCCTCTGGAGCCACCTTGACCCAGGGGTATGGAAGCCCACGAATAAACGCTTCCCCTTGACAACACTGAGATGCATTCCTGCAGCTCATTAATGCATTGGCTCCCCACCGCCTTCCATCCCCCATCTCATTCCTGCTCCCTGGGATCACTTCCCAGGAACATTACCTAGACCAGAGCATGACAATCTCTGCTTTCAGGGGAGTCCAGGCTTAGACAAATGGGAAGGAGGCTGTAGTTGCATGTAGAGTCAACAGAGGTTGTCTCTGTTGTTGTTTTTTTTTTAATTCTTTTTTCAAGAAATAACAACAGGATTGTATGCTGATAGGGATGATCCAGGAGAGGGGCAAAAATTGATGCAGGAAAGAGAAGGGAGAACGGCAGGAGCAGTGGTGGCTTTGAGCAAGTGAAAGGAGGGTCCACAGTAATACTTAGGAAACCGACCGTGGACTGGGCCATAGAGCAAGCCTCGATAGTTCAAAGAATTGAAATGAACAAAACATGTCCTCTGGCCACATGTGAAAAAGACAATCAGAAATCTCATATATTTGGAAATTAAGAAACATGGCCTACAACCGGAATCAAAAACATAACGGAAATTTAAAATATTTTGAAATAATTAATAATGAAAATGCTACATATTCAAACTTCTGGAATATGGCTATCATATTCCCTAAGAAAAAATTTATGATTTTAATGTCTTAAATGTGTTTGTTAGAAGTGTTGAAACTTAATAAGTTAAATATCCACCACAAGATGTTAAAAAAAAAAAGCAAAATGAAGTAGCAAGAGAAACTATAAAGGCAAAAGTCAGCAATATAGAAAATATATATACACAGGCACACACTACAATAGGATCATAAACAAGACTAAAGCTGGTTTTTTGAAAAGATGAATAAAATCAGCTCTTGAACTACTGACAAAGACCACAAGAAAGAAGGAGGAGGCACAAATAACTAGTGTCAGGAATAAAACTGAGACAACACTTTATGCTGCAGGCAATACAAAGATGTTTACAGAATATCATGAATATTTCAAGCAAATAATTTGTGAAATGTACTCAAAATGGACAAATTCCTAGGAAAATATAATTTATCAAAACTGATAAAGACAACGGAAAAACTAAATAGTCCAATAGATATTAACATAATTGAATTAATGGTTTTAAATCTTCCCATAAAGAAAACTCCAGACCCAGTTGGCTTTTCCAGTAATTGCTATCCAACATTCAAGAAAGAAATAATTCTATTCTTATACTCATTCTTCCAGAGACTAGAAAAAGGGGGAATACTCTCCAGTTCACTGTATAAGGCTAGGAAAACTTTGGCATTAAACCTCAAAAAGGAGGCTATAAGAAAGGAAAATTACAAGTTAATTTCATTCATGAGTACAGACACAAAAATTCTAAATAAAATATTAACAAATGAAACCCAATAGCATAAAAACAGGAAAAATACATCATGACCAAGTCAGGTATATCCAAGGAACTCAAAGTTGATTTAACATTAGAAAATCACTTAACGCTATTCACCACATTAGTAGATTTTAAAAGAAGACCCTATGATCATCTCAACAATTGCAGAAAAAAGCATTTGATAAAAATTCGACATCCACTCATGATTTTAAAATAAAAACATTAACCAACCCCGAAAAGAAAAAAAAAAGCTTCCTTAATGTGATAAAGAATATTTGCAAAAAGCCAACAGCAAATATCACAGTTGGTAGTAAAATGCTGAATAGATATTGGAAGCAAGACGTCTGCCATCACTGCTCCTATTGGACATTCTGTGTAAGGCTCTGGGAGCATGGAAAGGCAAGGAAGAGAAGTCAGAAGAGGAAGGACTTGTGAAGGAGCTGACACCCACACCCAGGCTTCTCTGACCCCAGCCCACTCATCACTGTCACCTCTCAGCTCACCCTGAGCATCACCTGTCTTCAGTCTACCTGCTCCCTCACTCAGTCACTCGGCGACGCCTACTGGGCCTTCTGGGAGCCCATGCACTCACCTGCATTTTCTGACTCACGCCACTCTCCACCTGCGCTGTTTCTGACTTTGCTTCCTAAGGGGCCACACTCAGTGCAGGGACCACTCCTGTATTACTCTGTGAGCTGCAGTGTCCCTACCTCAGCTCCTTCTGTTCGTGGGCAGGACGAGGTCTGACTCACCTCTGGGTCCCTAGCCCCTCACGTACAACAGGTCGCAGTGAGCGCTTGCTGCAGGACGTGAGGGTGACTGGACATGGGAGCTACAGAAGGATGCTGCCTCCTCAGTGGGGCCTTCCCACTCACCAACATGCACTGGCTTCTTCCCTAGGAGACCACTTCCACTGCTGTGCACTGGGCAGCTCCTCTGTGCCAGCCCTGGGCTGGTGGGCACTGACACCTAGCTCCCCCCGGCAGGCTGGCAATGGCCACACAGCCAGAGCCCCACAGGGGTCTGTGGGGCAAGCAGGTACCTCACCCAGCCACAAGGTCAGAAGAGGCTCCCAGGAGGAAGGAGCCTCTAAACTGAGGAATAAATGACAAGTGGATGTTCATGTCTGAAGGAGGGTGATGACGGGAGGATACCCAGGGATGGGGAGCTACAAGTGGGTCCCTGAGGGTGACACGATGTGAGTGCAGCAATGAGACCAGAGAGGTCACTCTTCTATCTGTGAGAACCGTGGACCCAGCTCCCCTAAAACACATGAATGCACTGATAAGATGGTGCACATACCTTAAAGCCCATTCCCACACCCGAGGTTCAAGAATATGGACTATAGCCTGAGGATGGCAAAGTCAAACTGTTGCAGTCTTAGGGGAAGAAAAGTACACATACGGCTGATTTGCTGCTCATTTTCACCCATAACCTTGGGCAAGACTCAAAATAATACCCGCAGGGCCTAGGCTGCCCTAGGACAGACACTCCACATCCAACATACAAGGGTCCTGCAGGCTTTGGCTGGTGGCCTCGCAGTGACTGTACCATTGTGGGGAAATGTCACCATCCCCCTTGTGAGCACCTGCGCAGCTACCAATTGCAGAGCTCTCACCATGTATCAAGCAGTGATGGCCAGACCTGGGCCAGACAGTCAGGGGAGAGAAGCGTGTTCCTGGAACAGAATACATTTGTGCAGAGGACAGGGGCATGGAGGAAGCTGGTGTTTCTGGGGCCTGGCTGGAGGGCCATCAGTGCCAGGGGACCAGCTGGACACCCATGGGAGATGTTGGCCCCTGCAGGCCAAAGCCTGCAGCCTGAACGTTATAATCCTGAGAGAGGGAGGGAGCCAGTATCCCATCTGGGTTTAGAGGGATCACTCTGGTGGTCTGGAGCCACACATGTGGTGGGGACTGCCACGGGGAGAAGCACAGAGGCCACACGGTGTAAGGGTCAGGGAAGTCCTGGCCTGAGAGATGCAATATATGTGGGAGGGGAAGCAGAGAAGGCACCTCGGGGAAAGGGAGGGTTCCTTGTTTCTCTGCATTGTGACAGATGATAACCACAGGCCCGCATGGTGCTGGATACCATAACCCAAAGACAACGTGGTCCGTTCCCATCACAGCAACCACACGGGTGTTGCCTGCAGGAAACCAAGCTGAGCAAAACAGACACTGGCCCCAAGGGGCAGGCCTCCCCCAGGCCAGTTCAGGCCCCAGCTGAAAGATGACGCAGAGACCCACACAGGGTTAACCAGGAGCCACTACAGAGAGTGAGAATCTAGCTGTGACCAAGCCAGTCCTGAGCCCAGTCTGTCCTCCCTTGTTCCCCACTGCCCCCCAACCCCACTGCCACCCAATCCCAAAGCCTCATGACCCCAGCAGGGCCTCTGAGGCCCCATGGAGCAATGGCAAAGACCCTGGCGTCTGGGGGCAGAGAGTCCAGTGTCCATGTCCCAACTGCACATCCCGTGAGGACCTGGCCAGCCTACCTCCCTGTCAATAAGCCCCTTCCAACCCTAGAACCCCCCACACCCAGAACAAGGAGTGGGGCAGGGGCAGCCAGTGGACATGAAAACGAGGGTAAACCCTGGAGGGAGTGGCCGGGGGAGCACATGACGAGGCGGGCCCTGACCAGGAGGCAAGTCATAGCAGAAGGGGGACTGCCAGGCTCTGGGTTGGCCCTGGGTGACCTGAAGGTTTCAGACAATCACAGTCCCTCTTGTGGTCTGGACTTCCTCATGCACAAACTGGGGCAGGGAGTGGAGGGCAGAAGGAACAATTTGGACCAGATGACGCCAAGGTCTTCCAGTTTCTCAGAGTGGTTGACAGCACCGGCCCCTGAATCAAAGGATTGAAACTAGGATCTGCCACTGGTTAACTGTGTGACTTTGAGCCAGTCCTTATTCTGACTGAGCCTCAGTTTCCTCATCTGTAAAATGAGTCAATAATACCTACACCCACAGAGTCATTCTAGAGATGAAGCCACACCAGCCGATGCAGAGTACCCACATGACACTGGCCACACTCTCCAGCATTACACTAAGGGAGCTGCGGGCTGGCAGGGCGATGGCATATCCAGAAAGTGCCAGTGGGCTCCACCAGTCCCACCCTCGTTCGGAGGTGTCCCCTCCCTGCAGGCTGCTCTCCTTCCCATCTCCCATTGGCCCGCAGGGTGGCAGCAGCCGTCTGGGAGGCTGGACTGAGCCGCCACTCTGAGAACGCCTGTCCCTCTCGGGGCTGGCAGGAGGCACCCCATAAATCAATCAGTAAATTCCAAGCAGATGCGCACAGGCTGTTTTGGTTGGAACCCTGGCCCTTTTCTGTGGTTGCAGCGAAACCAGACTCTCAGGTGATTCACAATTTGACGGAGGCCTAGAGCTGGATCCACCAGAGGGTGACGATAATATTTTCTTTCCTGTCTTACCTCGGAGACAGGGTGGGGCTTTTTTTTTCCAGCCCGCTATCCTGGGCCGACAGCATACTCAGGTTTACTCAGTGAATATTTATAAACCTCCAGGCTTGGGAAGCCAGTCTCAAGGACCAGGAGCACTGCTGTGGGCTTCAATGTATGCAAACCCTTCTCCCCCAGGACTATACTCCTCACAGCTGCCCCGAGGTTCTGCTTTGCCACTGAGGAAAGTAGGCAAATGTGGATGTTGTTTAAAAGCTGTGGCTTTGCTGCTAATAGTCCTGGGTTCAAATCCCAAGTCTGATACGTCACTGAGCCTCAGTTTATACTTCCACAGAAACAGGGATACTACACTTAACAAACACGAGCATGGTGAGATTTAAATATATATGAGGTGCTTCCATAGTGCCAAGCACATTTTATTCATTAAGTTGTCACTATTATGATTATTATGATTGCTCAGAGAAGGGACATACTAGCCCTAGGTCACAAAGCAGTCAGAGGAGTGCAGGTGCCCTGTGCAGCAGGATGGGACAACCCAAAGTCAGAGGTGGGGTACCATGCCTGGCATCACTGAGCCAGCTAGCTCCCCAGGCAGCCAGGGTCAGGCAGGGCAAACACTACCTTGCCTTCCGGAGGCTCCACAAAGCCCCTTTGTGAAGAATGCCCAGTAAGAAAGAAAAATACCCAGGGCTGCATCCACAGCAAATTAGTGGTTTGACTCCTTTTGGTTGTAACCAAATGGGAGGAATATAAAAAGGCTGGGAGCCAGGTTTAAAAGCAGGCAAGTGACTCTACACCGTTGTTGGTGAAAATCCTGGCCTGTCCCTCCCTGGGTCTCAGTTTTTCATCTGACAGCTGGGGGCTGGACAGTTGGGATCCTCAGGCCCCCAGCACCCCGCTCTCCTGTGGAGCCTGGATCTCCTGCCTGTAGGGTGGCTGTTTAGAGTCTGACAGCAGCAGCCATCCACTGAGCACCTGCTATGTGCTGGCCCCTCTCTGAGCACTTCACTTGGACTGTCCTCCACTCCTCCCCAGAGCCCTGTGACAAGCGCTGTCACTGTGCCCATCATACAGAAGGGGAAAGTAAGTAACGTGCCCAAAGTCATCAAAGAGGTAAAGCCAGGATTTAAAACCCAGGCAGTAGTCTGGGATACTACATTAAGCCACTCTGCCACTCCCTCCCCTACCCCATGCCCCTTTCATGCATGTGCACACACACACACACGCTCATGCTTGTACTGAGGCAGCTCCCGGAGTCTGGGCTTGGCTGAGATGCACAGCAGGACTGCGAGATTAAGAAGACGTGGGGGAAAGGAAGAGCTGAAGGCACACTCTTAGGCCTCTGGAGGGAACAGAACCGGGGACTTCAAAAGCACAGGGAGACAGGCCCAGCTGATGATGGATGGTTTAAACCTGACCCTGGGGCAGAAATGTAGAAAAGGGCCCATACTATTGCCTGGCAGCAATGAATACCTCCATAGAGAGAGTCCCTGAATATCTTGGGGGACCACGGGGCAGGGTCTGCGGTGTTGACTCTTCTTGGAACCATCAGAGTGCCCAGTCCAGGGTTTGCATACAAAAGGTGCTCATCCTCCAGCTGAGTACCTGGGCTGGACCTTGGGCAAGTCCTTACTCTTTCTGAGGCTGTTTCCTCATCTGTAAAATAGGGATAACAACACCTGCCTCATAGGGTTGTCCTAGAGATTAAATGACAGTGGATGACATTCCCAACAGACAGCAAGCTCCCCTGGGAAGGAACAGCTTTCCTACAGTGACATCCCAGTGCCTGCCGTAGGAGCTCCAGCAGTCTGGGGAGGAGGAAAACAGGTGGGGCCAGAGGAACCTGAGCACTCTGAGAAGAGCCTCAGGTGCAAGTTCTGGCTATATCACTTGCTGACTGTGTGACCTTGAAGAACTCACTTGCCCTCTCTGGCCCTTGGGCTCATCACCTGAAAAATGTGGGTGAAAAACTCTGGCCCGTGGGTGTGGGGTTGTCACACAGAGATTGGGGGCCTAAGGGCACTTTGTGGATGATGGAGCCTTGAATAAACAAGGACAAGTAGGTGAGTGGTACTGACGAGGGCGCACCAAAAAGGGGCCATCTTGGTGGTGGAGGGTGGTTTCTTAACACGCCTTCCTGACACCCGACACCTCTCCTCAAGCTTCTTGGGAAGGAACGGTCCATCTGTCCATCTGTGCTGCAAAAGCAAGGGAGTTCAAGATCACTGGGTGCTCTGTGCTGGGAACCTCCACAGCTTGCACATCATTTAATCTCCAGCCCCAGGTCTCAAGCTGAGGGCTGTCCCATCCCAGGGCCGCTGCTCTGTGCCTCCCATCCTGGGCTGACCCCGAAGCTCTCCCTGACAAGAGTGTCTGCTCCCTGACCCCACTCCACTCCCAGGCACTGCCAAGTGTGGGGCCTGGAGGCTGCTCCTGGGGCCAGCTGGCCAGGCCAGGACACCTCAGTGGTCCAGCAGGCCCAGAGCTTGTGGGGCCAGGCCACACCTACCCTGATGAATCCCAAGGCAACACACTGCCCTGTTTCTGTTCCCCATTACGAGGACTGGTGCCCATCAAATAAATCAGGCTAATGGAGTCTGATGAACAAAGATTCAGATGGTGGGACACTGTAATTATAAACATCAGCAGCTTGGCAATCTGGGATCAGGGGAGCTGTCTTGCTTTGATGGAAGGCGAGCACTGGAGAGATTGTTCTGGACATTACAGGCAGGAGAGGCTGGGTTCCCTGCACCTATTTCACACTACTCTGCAGTGCTGTCAGAGTTTCAGGTTGCCACGCAACGATAAGGCCTTCCACCTCGGGGCCCTGCCACAATACGCTGCTGGAATGGCTCATAGTATCCACACCGCCATGCCAGTCAGTATTCTCAAGACTTTACAGAAGGTTTGTTCTGTTGGTGCTAATGAACGCCTGTCTATCCTGTAACACCCAAGTCAAGTGCTACCTCCTCCAGGAAGCCTTCTGGGTATCTCCTACAGTAAAGCACTTCTTCCTCTGTGCTGTAGGACTTGCCTTCCAGCCTCACATGAGCTAAGCTCTCTCCTTTCTTGTGTCTTTGTGTCTGCCATTCCCTCTGCCTGCAACACCCTTCCCACTGCAGTTTTAACTCCACTCACCCGTCTTGTATCAGATTCAACGTCACCTCCTCCGGGAAGTCTCCCTGATCTCCACCAGGCTGCCCGGCCTCCCCAGTTCCCTGCACTGTAACTTAGTTCACATGTCTGTGTCCCACCCTTATCTGGAAGCTCTCTGTCCCCAGTGCCCAGTGCAGGCCTGGCACCAAGTAGGCAATTCAGGAATTGTGAGCTCAAAACAACTCAGGAATTGTGAGCTGAGGAAACGTGTTCTATCGCTGTCAAACCACCACAGGGCTGGGACAGTCTGAGGCCTGCAGACTGTGGTCTGAGTCCTCTGAGTCCCGTCTTCTCGGACTAACAAGACCCAGTTCCTAGTTCCCGAACAAACGAAACCACCAAGGTCTGTTGTGACCCAAAAGTGGAGGGCTTCATATGGAAGGAATCAAGAGGCACAAGGAATCAAGTATCCATTGGAGCAGACACTTTATTATCCAGGCCATAAACCTGATTTACACTTGGGCCGCTTCTCTCCAGCAGCTCTGTAAAGTTTTAACGTTGCCCCAGCAAGCCCTGGGAACAAACCTTCAGAGCAGCAGGAAGAGGCCCATTATGACTTTGGTTGGGGGCAGTAGTGTTCCCAGATGCTCTTGTCCTCCAGGTAACCCTGCGGGTGGAGTCACCTGAACTTGACCTGGAGTGAGCCACGGGCTGAGAGCCTAGAGACCTGGTTCTAGTTCAGACTCCATCATGCACAGACAGTGTGGCCTTCACAAGCTATGTGTCCATCTGGGCCTCAGTCTCCCCACCTGTACAATGACCATGGGGAGGGAGCAAGGAGGCAGACTCAGTGCTAGTAACCAAGGTCACAGCATAACACGGCAACTATAGCTTCAAGCTGTGGCTTACTAGCTATGTGACTTGGGCAAGTTATGGAAGCTCTCTCTGCCTCACTTTCCACACCACGAACATGAGCGAACGGCGGGAGGGTGAGGCCTCCTCCTACCCCAGGGCTACGATGAGCACCAGGGGTTAACTGAGAAGCCTGTGGAGCAGCACCCCCGGGGTCTCCTAGCACTTCAGCCATCGGGGGCTGACAGGAGGAAATGAGGCCCTTCCAAACTGGTTGTCCAAACGTCCCCCAGTAAGCTAGGGGGTACAGAGTGTAATCCCCACACGATAGAAGAGGAAGATGAGGCTCGGAGCCAGGGGCTTACTCTCTCTGTAATCCAGTGAGCTGGGAGCCCAGCCCTGGCCTCCTAATGCCAAGCCTGGAGTTCTTTCCCTGATAAAGAATGTTCCAGGCCAAGTTGTTTTGAAAGGAAGGGGCAAAGTGGGGGAGGGGAGCAAGGCTCCATGTTAGGGTCAACTCTCATATTCTGGAAGAAGTCTCTACAAGACACCATTTAGGGTCAGCTGATTTGCCTCTTTCTCTCTGTCCTACCACCATCCCAATCACCAGCTCCCACTGCAGCTAGGCTGCCGGGTCACCCTCCCTCCACTTGGCTCTGCCCCAGAGAGCCTCTGACGGCCCAGCTAAAACTGTACCCCATCCTGTCCACCTCCAGCCTCTCACTCTGCCATGATAAATCACTATTTATCATACAACCTGACATAATATTGATGAATTTTTCTTCATTAAACAAATATTATTGTTATTCACAAACAAATTCATTAAACCTATTAAATCCTGGCTGTCATAGATGTTTGGGAGAAGACAGTGAACAAAACAGACAAAAATCCCTGCCCTCCTGGAGCTTCCGTACAGAAGAGGAGGTGACTCATAAATAACAAACATGATCAATAGGTCAAACATACGGCCTATTAGAATGGGAAGAGTTCTTCAAAAACAACTGAGTAGAGTAAGGGGATGGGGGTGCTGGGGTAGGGCAGGGTGCTGAAGGTGGGCACCACAGAGTGGTGAAGGGTATGCCCAGCAGAGGGAACAGATGGGACCAGGGCCCGGAGGAGGCAGTGTGCTGGGCTGGAGAGGAGGAAATTAGAAGGAAAGAATTAAACGGTGCATTTGGG